>NC_000001.11:54856865-55008380 GCF_000001405.40 Homo sapiens
AGAACACTGTTTCCCTTCTCCCTTGCCAGCACAATGTGACATCAAACTTCTAGATCACTGTCATTCATTCTGATAGGTGAAAAATGAGACTCCTGGAGTTCTGTTTTGCCTGTCTCTAATTCTGAGTTAGACTGTATCACACTGTGATGTTTAAAAGCCATTTGTGTTTTTTTCCTAAAAATAGTCAACTGGTATCCAAATATATCAGCTGAAACCATTCCTTTTCCAGTCTTAGCCTCAGAAAGTTCAAGTTTTAAACATGTGCCCTGCCCTTCTCCTTTCCCGCTTCTGTCCACCCATTACTTATCCTATGTGGCTTAGTGACCTGGGATGTCAGGGTCCTAAGCTGCCCCCTTGCTGAGGCCAGTCATTGCAGAGAATCTCACTGCAGCCCTTGTTCTCTGGCCATCCTTGCTCACTGGCTGTAGGGCCCCATGGCAAATCTAAGGGGCCCAGCCTGAGCCAGGAACCCCAGCCCCAGCAGGAAGTCCTGGGGCAATGGCCTTCTATGAACACAAGGACCCTATCTTATCCTTTCTTACTGGTGTTAACTCCCTGTGTTAGCCAACCGCTTATACTAAAATGATGACATAAAAAGGAATGACAAGACAGAGCTGCCCAGCTTGGCTCCTTTTCTTTCAGTCCTTCCTTACCGTAAGTCAAAGGTAGTGTTGGTAGAATGTGCATGTAACAAAGAGAAGTAAAAAGAGTTTATGCAGCATTCTTAATGAAACCAAGAAATACATATACATGAGGAGTTAAATGTAACATTTAAACAGTGAACAGTAAAATTCATACTAATAATTTAAATTTTTCTTCACTTAGAATGGCATTAAGTTGCAAATATTTATGACAAGAGACAGACCATGGAGAAAGAAAAAAGCTTTATATTTAGTACCTTTAATGGCACTTCTGGCCTGCTTTTTGCACCTGGCCCTACAAATTATGCAGCTAACCCTGACCCCGCGTGTTGCTGATTGACCAAGCTGGGGGAAGGGAAGTGACTGGACCAGCCAGGCCTGGCACAGGTGTGACCAGAATGGACTAATCACCCAGAATGCAGCTTGTTAAGGGGCTTAGCACGCAGGCCTGGTCACACTTGGTTCATTCCAGGGCCTTACTCATCAGGGAGGAACCTGGGGGAAAGGCCGCCAATGGGAGGAGAAGAGTTATCCCAGCAGAGGGGGGGAAAAGGCATGCATTTGAAATTGTTTATTCCTCCCCTCTAGAAATGTCTTGTCTTCTGCATTTCTACTGTAGAGGATGCTGCGCGCAGATGCCCGCTCCAGGGAGGCACCCGTTCCCCCAGCTGCACAGGGTGCTGACTGCTGACACTCAGGGAGAACTGCCCTTGGCAGAAGGGAGCTGCCTCATCCAAGGTCAGTCTGCACAATGACTGGTTGATGGGGCAGCATTTGGTATAAAGTCCTAGCCCACTGGCCTAAAGGTGACACAACTCTGGAGGGCCATCTTACCCCAGGGCTGCCTGTGGGTTAGCTGAGGTCTTCCTTGTGACTGCACCACAGCTTGACTTCTCCCTCTTCCCAGTCCCACTTCCCTACTACCACACAATGACAGATCAGCACAATGACAGATCCCTAGAGGTCTGAACGTTCACTTCCTGCATGCAAATGTAGGCTGAACACACCTATTCTTCCAGATTCTTCTTTTACCTGAAGGCAGTGTGGGCCAGTGTTTACTTAACAGAACAAATATGTAAGACAAACCTCATTTTGAATCCTAGCTCTGTGTAGCAGTTTTATTTTTATTTTTATTTATTTATTTATTTGAGATGGAGTTTCACTCTTATTGCCCAGGCTGGAGAGCAATGGCGCGATCTCAGCTCACCACAACCTCCGCTTCTGGGTTCAAGTGATTCTCCTGCCACAGCCTCCTGAGTAGCTGAGATTACAGGCATGCACCACCACATCTGGCTAATTTTGTATTTTTAGTAGAGATGGGGTTTCTCCATGTTGGTCAGGCTGGTCTCAAACTCCTGACCTCAGGTGATCCGCCCACCTCCGCCTCCCAAAGTGCTGGATTGCAGGTGTAAGCCACTGCGCCCGGCCTTCTGTAGCGGTTTTAACATATGCCCCTAGATTCTTTGCTAGTCCTTTCTCAAGAAGTGGAGCTCAGTGCCCCTCCCCTGAGTATGGGCTGGATTAGTGACTCTGATCTAATAAGGAGAATATGGTGGAAGTGAGAGGTGTGACCTACGACTGGGTCATAAAAGGCACTGCAGACTCTTCCTTGGTCTCTCTCTTGGATCACTTGCTCTGGGGGAAGCCAGCTGCTTTGTCATGAGGTCACTGGAGGAACCCATGTGGCAAGGAGGTAAGGTCTCTGGTCAACATCCATGTGAGCTGGAAGCAGATCTTCCAGCCCCAGTCAAGCCTCCAGATGACTACTGCCATAGCCCACAGCATGAGAGTCCCTGAGCCAGGACCACCCAGATCAGCCACTCCCAAATCCTTGACCTTCAGAAACTATGATATAATAAATGTTTGCTGCTTTAATCTCTAACTTTTGGTTTTGTTCATTATGCAGCAATAGATCACTAATACACTCATTCTCTGAGTTGTGTTATTTACTTTGTCTCCAACAGTTCCTTTTTTTTTTCTTATTTTTGAGACAGAGTCTCGCTGTTGCCCAGGCTGGAGTACACTGGCGTGATCTTGGCTCACTGCAACCTCCACTTCCTGGGTTCTCCTGCCTCAGCCTCCCTTGTAGCTGGGATTACAGGCATGCCCCAACCCACCTGGTTCATTTTTGTATTTTTAGTAGAGACAGGGTTTTGCCATGTTGACCAAGCTGGTAGTTACTTTGGATAACCTAATCCTCAGTATTCTCATCTATGGAATGGAAATAACACTAATATCTACTCTCAGAGGGTTGTTGGGAAGATGAAGATAATGCGTGGAAAGTGTTCAGCATTAACGTCCACCCACATTGGGAGTGGCTAATGTTAACCACTGCTGTTATCTTTCTGATCCTCTTTCACTAGTTCCTCTCCTTTCTCTTAACAAAACCACACTCCACAACCTTAACACTGCTCTTGGCAGGGATCAAGAAGGACTCATAGTGGCTTCTGCTTTTGGCAAAATTGCCCACCACCTGCTGTGGGCCTTGACATTGCCCAAGATTAAGACTAATGGGTGTGGGGGAGACCCCATAGCCCCTCCAGGCCATGATGAGACCCTCACCCCTACACTCCTCCACCCCTACCACCGCCCAATCACATTCTGCTTAAGATACTTGCCCAATGTCAGAACTGACCAATCACCCTCTCCTAGAAGCCCACCAGGTATAATTCCGTCATGCCTTACATTCTAATGTCCTTAGTCACCATGGCCTGCCAGATGCCTTGTTACTGTGATCTTAGCCTACTACAGCAATGCAGCATCTCTTAATCTGACTTCACTTGCCACTGCCCCACCGCCTTTCCTCTCAAGCCCTGCTCTCATGGTCTGACCTTAACAAAACCCTCTCCATTCTCAGTCTCTTCTCTGAACATTCCTCTCCCCTCCTTGTTAACTAGAACCCTGAAGCCCTCTTTAAGTGGTATCATTTTCTCCCCTACAACCCTCCTGCCACTGGGATACACGGAGGTGAGGTAGGGTCCCCCTGGCCCCTCATTACTGCTTCCAGATCTCTGTTCCTCCCCCATGCCCAGAAACCAACCTCAGAAACTTGGAAACATGTGCCCAATACCTCCTCTGATAACCATGGCTCCCCTCACTAGAGTGTGGATCACTGAATTCCCCGAATCCCATCATCCTTGGTTCCTTTCACCGGTTCCTGGAAAAACGTCACTTTCTTCAACATTAACTTTTGGTGAGGCCAGGCGCAGTGGCTCACGCCTGTAATCCCAGCACTTTGGGAGGCCGGGGCGGGCGGATCACGAGGTCAGGAGATCGAGACCATCCTGGCTAACATGGTGAAACCCCGTCTCTGCTAAAAATACAAAAAAAAATTAGCCAGGTGCAGTGGCAGGCGCCTGTAGTCCCAGCTACTCGGGGGGCTGAGGCAGGAGAATGGCATGAACCCGGGAGGCGGCACTTGCAGTGAGCCGAGATCCAGCCACTGCACCCCAGCCTGGGCGACAGAGCGAGACTTCATCTCAAAAAAGAAAAAAAAAAAAAAAAACTTTTGGTAATTTAAAACCCACAGAGAAGGTCCTGACCACGCCTGGCCTCTCTGCCCTTGGCCTTCTTTCTTTACATTCCAGTGATCTTATCTTCCACATGTCCTTGGCCACTGGCTCTCACAACATACCCTGGAGGAGGGGACAGAAATTACTACCCGTGGGGATCCAGTGTGGGAGCGGAAGTGAGCATGTGGCCTAGTGACTGTTTTTGTAAATTTGGTTTTACTGGGGCCAGTCATCCCTATTCATTTATGTACCATCCCTGGCTGTTTCCATGTGGCAGATCTGAGGAGCTGTGATAGATTCTGTAGCTTGGAATGCCTAAAATATTTGTTGTTTGGCCTTTTAGGAAAGTTTGCTGACCCCTAGGCTCTGTCACCCTGCCCTACATTCACAGTCTCCATAGCTTCCATTGCAAGTGTTTGCTCTCAGCCATCACCGCCTCTCTTCCTAGCTTACGCCCTCTAGTCCCCTGACTTCAATGCTCCACTCCACCCAGGGCATCCTGTCCACCATATCAGTCCCTTGTCAGTCCCTGGGGGCCTCTCACATCCGGCCTCCCCTCCATAGCTGGCTTAGATTTCATCATAACACACCCTTGGGTCCTCACTCTTGCCTACACATCACACTCCCTGCAAAACCTCAGCCATGGTTAAATATAACTCTCTGCCTACTCTGTACCCCAGCAACACAGATTCCTGGGTGAAAACCCACAAACACAGGGCTGGTCTCACTGTAAATTCATGAGTGTGAATCCCTGGTAGGCCCAGTGCTGCCTGGCAATGCCACAGTGTTTCCCCAGTTAACTCATTTCCCACTCTCCGAGGGACAGCTTCACATCTCTTCTCTCCTCAAACCATCAAAATCCTCTCCCCTTTCATCTCAGCTGAAATCCTTATTTCACTGAGAAAACAGAAGCAATCAGAAGAGAACTCCCACACCCTCCCACCACCCTATGGTCCTCCCATTAGTAGCAACTGTAGCCATTAGTACTGCTTCCCTCCTGACAACTGGATGAACTTTCCATGTGCCCATCAAAAGGCAGCCTCTCCACCTGAGCTCAGGAGCCACTCCACTCCCCTACTCAAGACTTCACCCTATCAATATACCCTCTCTTCTGCATTGTCATTTTCCCCTCCACTGGATCACTGTCATGACTGCCATCTCTCCCATCTTAAAGCAATCACACAGACAAAGTACCTTCACCTGGCCCCACACCCGCCTCCAGCCATCACCCTGTTTCTCTGCCTCTCTTGATAGTGAGCCTCAGGTTTGTTTTCACTGTGTCCACCGCCTTGTCTCCAGTTCTCTCTCAAACCCACTGGTCAAGGATTCACCCCTATTGCTTAAAGTCAATGATGACATTCCTATGGCCAAATCCAGAGGTCGAGTCTGTCTTCATCTCCTTCAGCAGCATGTGGCACAGTTGCTGGTCTTCCTCCTGAAACAGTCTTCCCTTAGCTTCCGGGATGCCACATCCTCCTGGTTTTGTTCCCCTGCCCTGGTTGACAGCACTTTCTCCTGCCCTTGGCTAGTTCCTCCTCCCCTAACCTGCAAGGTGTCCCAGGGTCTTCTCTATCTGCCCTCACTCATCTCCCTCCATGGCTTTAGAAAACATTTCTCTGTGGCTGAGAAATGTGTATATAGGGCTCCAACCTCCACTGAACTCCTGAAGTCCCGACACACGTCACTGGCTCCTGCTGTCATCCCACCTGGACATCTGAATGGCTTCTGATTCCCCTTTCCAGTCCCCTCCCCCATGTTTCAAATGGCAGTCAACCAGGCCGGGTGCGGTGGTTCACGCCTGTAATACCAGCACTTTGGGAGGCCGAGGCGGGTGGATCACGAGGTCAGGAGATCGAGACCATCCTGGCTAACATGGTGAAACCCCGTCTCTACTAAAAATACAAAAAATTAGCTGGGCGTAGTGGTGGGCGCCTATAGTCCCAGCTACTTGGGAGGCTGAGGCAAGAGAATGGCATGAACCCGGGAAGCGGAGCATGCAGTGGGCGAAATTGCGCCACTGCACTCCAGCCTGGGTGACAGAGCAAGACTCTGCCTCAAAAAAAAAAAAAAAAAAAAAAAAAAGGCAGTCAACCTTGGCCCTGAACCTTTGAATCACATCCACGGCCAATCTGTCTGGAAATCCTGCTGGTTGGTTCAGCCTGCACTGCATCTCCCAGATTTGACACTTCTCCTCTGCTGCTGCCCAGACAACAGTATCTTCTTTCTTCTACTCTTCCACTCTTGTCCACTCCCGTCCCCATCCACTCTATCCAGCTGTCACAGTTATTCTTTTAAAACAAAAATCAGGCCATGCCACTTTCCTGTTCAAAGCCCTCATTGGCTTCCTATTATACTTAGAATAAAATATAAAGTCCTTCCTAACCTACAAGGAGCCATATGATCTAGCCTCTGGTGCCTGTTTGACCTCATTCCTCACCATAGCTCAGCGTGGGCATGCTGGCTCCGAAGGCTTCTTGCTGTTTTTCAAACACATGCAGCCTTGCTGGGACACCTGGATAGCTATAAGCAAAAGAATGGAGCCTGGACTCCTACCCCACTCAACAACCTAAAGATTAGAGCTGCAACTATAAAGGTCTTTGAAGAAAACAAAGGGGCTTGGACTTGACAATAAATTCTTATATATGGCACTAAAAGCACAAACAAAAGGGAAAATAGATAAATTGGAATTCATCTAAATTAAAAACTTCTGTGCATCAAAGGACGTTACCAAGACAATGAAAAGAAACCTACAGAATTGGAGAAAATGTTTGCAGATCATATATCTGATGAGGGTCTAGTATCCAGAATACACAAAGAACTCTTACATCTCAACAACAAAGACAAATGACCAAATTTTAAAAGGTGGCAAAGGATTCAAATAGACTTTTCACCAAAGAAGATATACAAAACGGTTAACATGCATATAAAAAGATGCTCAGCATCATTAATTTCAAGGAAAATGCAAGTCAATACCATAAACCCACCAGAATGGCTATAATAATAATACTAATAATTTAAAAACCAGAAAATAACAAGTGTTGGTGAGAATGTTGAAAAAATAGAGCGCTCATACATTGCTGGTGGGAATGAAAAATGGCACAGCCTCAGTGGAAAAGAGTTTGGTTGTTGCTCAGAAAGTTAGACACAGAATTAGCATATGACCCAGCAATTCCACTCCTAGTTCTATATCCCAAAGAACTGAAAACAAGTATTCAAACAAATACATGCACATGAAGGTTTGTAGCAGCACTGTTCACAGTAGCCAAAAGGTTGAAACAACCCACATGTCCATCAACAGATGAGTGACAAAACAAAATGTGGTCTCTCATATAATGAACTACTATCCCGCCATAAAAAGAAATGAAATATTGATACATGAAAACATTATGCTATGTAAAAGAAGCCAGTCACAAAAGGCACATACTGAATGATTCCATATATGTGAAATATCCAGAATAAGTAAATCTGCAGAGACAGAAGATGAATTGGTGGTTGCCACAGGCTGGGGAAAGGGGAGAGAATAGGGAGTGGCTGCTTAATGGGTATAGGGTTTCCTTTTCAGAGATGAAAATGTTTGGAACTACACAGAGGTAGTGGTTGCACAACACTGTGAATGTACTAAACTACCCTGAACTGTCCATTTTATAATGTTTAATTTCCTGTTAGCCCAGCTCAAGCCCTGGGCTCTGGCTGTCCCTCTGCCTGTGAACAGAGTTCCAGAGTCCTCCCCAGAGTTGTTCCTGGTCTGCCTTCCCTATGTTCAGGTCCCTGCTCACAAAGTCATCTCCTGAGGGGTTCTTCCTGACCTTCCCCCACTTAAAGTGTCACTGCTCCTCATCCACCCACCCATCTACACATGCAACAGCAAATTCTCACTCACCTTTCACAGCCAGGCTTGGCTGTTACCTCGAGCCCTAGGCAGAACTAGCCACTTCCTACTAATGTTCCTGCGGCCCTTTACAGTGCAGGGATCTGTCTGCTCACCGTGGCTAGAGGCTAACCCTTCCTCAAGGGCGGAACAGGTCTGTGTTCCCCAAAGTACCGGCCCAGGGGCTTACTCCCCAGCACCAAGCAGATGCTTGCTAAGAGCCTGCTGCTTGAACTGAAGGTAGTTGGTTCCTTCAGAAGGAAACGACTGTGTTGCTGCTTAAGAAGGCATTGCAGTTCCTTAGGACAAAGCCACTCTTTACCCTGAAGGGAGAGAGTATGGCTACAGTGTTAACTGTCCGGGCTCCCTGCCCAGCTGGCCTGGAGGAGCCAGGGCTACAGAAACCTAAGCCTCACCTGGAGCTCCCAGAAGATGCTGCGCGTGTGGCGGTGGTAGTAGTGTCTCAAGGGAATGTACTCCAGGCCCTCTCGGTTTGTCTTCAGATAGTTCTCCACATGCTTAAAGAACCACGGCTTGTAGTAATTGCCAATGCTATTCAGCTGAAATGACAGAGGGCATTGTGATCAGCCTGCAGACAAGCGCCCAGCACCATCGGGGTGTAACAGCGACACCCGGCTTCTGTTCAGCACTCCTGGCCTTTTCAAAGCTCTTTCATGTCTATTACTGCCTTTGAGACTCTTGAAAGCTGGTGAGGTTAGGCACAGCGGGTATCCTCTAGCAGAGAGAGCAGGAGCTCAAAGAGGTTAAGTGGTGTGTGCCCAGGGCCAAACAGTGAGTCCCCGACAGTCTAGAGAACTCAGCGACCCCGCCTAGCCTGGTGCAAGTGTTTAACAGAGTTAAACATTTAACTGCCCTGATGCAGTGCCCCATGCAGGGGAATTCCCTCCCTCCCTCCCTTCCCACCTTCCCCAAGGCCAGGGAAGCACGAACTCTGGGAATGGGTCAGCCCCTCAGTGCAACCCAGGGCTCATGGCACCAACTGGTCATGGCACTTTCCCTGCTGTCCCTGGACCAAGCTCCACAGTCCTCCGGGTACAGCACTCCCCAGGCAGCCACCATCGTCTGGAGGATGCTCACATGAATAAGGCTCATACCTCCCTGGCCCTGGGGGCTCCCACACCCAAATCTTCTATTGAGCTGATGTCTCCTGCAGCCCTAAATGGTCATGACTCAATGTGCTGTGTGCCTTGGGATGGCTGAGCTTCTCCTGGCCTCAGCTTCCTCATCCATAAATGAATTCTGGCAGATGCTCTCGGGGAGAGGCAGGGGGGATCCTGGAAAAGCACAAGCTTTAGGGTGGGCAGCTGGGGACACACCCAGGCAGGTCATCTCTGAGCCTGTTTCTTCACATGTAACATGACAATAAAAATACATACTTTGTGGGAGTTATTTGTCTATTAGAAATTACATACATATGCCCACTGTTTTTAAAAAATAGGACCATCTTTTTTTTTTTTTTGAGACAGAGTCTCGCTCTGTCGCCCAGGCTGGAGTTCAGTGGCACGATCTTGGCTCACTGCAAGCTCCACCTCCCTGGTTCACGCCATTCTCCTGCCTCAGCCTCCTGAAAAATGGGACCATCTTACACGTACTGTTTGCCAATTTGCTTTTTCCATTTACAACACACTTAGCAGAGCCTAGGCAGGTTACTTAGCATTTCTGGAAGACTAAAAGAGATGATGTAGAAAGTGCCAAGCACGGTGCCTGGTCCACAGGTGGCTGAAGTATCAGTCCCCACCCATTCCCTTGTTGACCTGCTCTACCCTACAGCCAGGCAACCCTTTGCCGTGGATCTCTGGCCTCCAGCACTTGCAGCTTATCTGTGTGCCACCCGCTTGTGCAGGCCCACCCTGCTGGTAAGGCCACCCTGCTGGTGAGGCCACTCTGCAGGGAGGAAACTGGGGCTAAAGAGCCTCTTTGCCCAAATTAGTTTTGGTGTGGATGGTATGGGGCAGCGCAAAAAACACTCACGCTGGCCTCTGCCTGCTAATGTGAACAGGGGAACCCAGCAGGAAACAGAGCAACCTGATCTAACCCCAGGTGAGGTGTGTCACATACCTGGCAGTGGCAGCAGCTGCATAATGAAAGTGAGACTTAGGGCCACCTGGATACAGGCGCTCCTGGTGCTCACTGATGCATCAGGAGCCATGCAGAGAAGCCCAGGACATGGGAAAGAACCCAGATAGTCTGTCTTTTCCAGGCACACACCAGCTGAGGAGGCCAGGTGGCTGCATGAGCTCCAGTCCACCCCAGCCCTTGACTGCAAGCCACTTCCTATCTCTGGGCCTCCTCTGTGAAATGGGGGTAGGCTGCTTCTCACAGGATTGCAGCAATGTTTACACGGGGCAGTGCCTGCAGAGGGCCCATCACAGGGCCTGGCACACAGGGACAAATTCCTGAATGCTTAGAAACAGAAATGTTTGGAAGCAATGCTTCTAAAATGAAATGCCCAGATGTCTAATGGCATCCACCACTCTGCCCCAGCCCTGTTCCCTCAGGTATCAGGGTCTTGCTCACTGGGGCACTTGGCAAATATCCCTCTGCTGCTGATTCTGGGAGGGCCTTTGGGTAAGGCTCTCTGTGCCTCACAGTCTTCTCCTTGGGAAATAAGGGAATCAGATCAGGTCTCCAAATATTTCAAAAGCTGGGCAAACCCCTCTGCCAAATCATAATCTTAGGGAGCATCTAATACATCAAATGGATGGCAGCAGAGCCACTTTGGGTACAGTGGGGGTGGTGACTCCCCTTGGTCCCATCCCTCCTCAGCTTTCCTACCCCTGAGAGCCTCAAGGGAACACCTCAGAGCAGCTGGAAAGCTCTGGTCTAGATGTCCTTGCTAGGTGACTTGGTGCTAGGTGACACACACTGTCTGAGCTTTGGCCTCAGGCAGATCCAGGGGCCCAGGAGGGCCAGAGCACTTCAGCTCAATGTCCGGTATTGCCACCGCTGTTCCAGGACCTCCAGCACTTACCGCAGTGTCCCACAGGGAGCAATGTTTGCATAGTGCTAAAGTCTGCAGGCTGATATGTCAGGGAACCGACACTGAACCAGGAGTCAGAAGCTGGAATTTAAATCTGTTCTGTGCTAGCTGTGTGTCTTCAGAGAAGTCTCTTTCCCTTTCTGGGCCTCATTTCCTTATTTGTAGAGAGGATTGTACCGGATGATTTTATAGCCCTTCACAACTTTAAAATGTTTTAAGTATGTATATAGGTATAGATTAAGAGTCTTAAGGGATGCCTATCCTTTGATCTGCGATTTTATGTTAAGATATTACTCCAATTGGCCGGGCGCAGTGGCTCACGCCCGTAATCCCAACACTTTGGGAGGCCGAGGTGGGTGGATCACGAGGTCAGGAGATCGAGACAATCCTGGCTAACACAGTGAAACCCCATCTCTACTAAAAATACAAAAAATTAGCCGGGCGTGGTGGTGGGCGCCTGTAGTCCCAGCTACTTGGGAGGCTGAGGCAGGAGAATGGCGTGAACCTGGGAGGTGGAGCTTGCAGTGAGCCGAGATCCCGCCACTGCACTCCAGCCTGGGTGACAGAGCGAGACTCTGTCTCAAAAAAAAACAAAAGATATTACTCAAATTACAGACAAAAGATGTTCATTGCTCCATTAATTAAAGTAATAAAAAAATTGGAAGCAACTTAAATTTCCAACTATGGGCAGCAATAGGGCATTCATTTCCTCAGTGCAAGGTGCAATGCAAGGTTGGCCATTCTAATTGGGATTCTTTAATTCTAATAAGAATGGACATTAACAGTGATGGTTATGAAGGCAATGTAATAGTTCTAATAAAAGATGGATATTAACAATGACGGTTATGAAGGCAATGTAACAACAGGGGGAAATGCTTATCACAATAAACAAGAAAAAGGCTGGGTGCAGTGGGTCACGCCTGTAATCCCAGCATTTTGGGAGGCCGAGGCAGGCGATCACCTGAGCTCAGAAGTTCAAGACCAACCTGGGCAACATGGCGAAACCCCGTCTCTACTAAAAATACCAAAATCAGCCAGGTGCAGTGGCATGCGCCTGTATTCCCAGCTACTCGGGAGGCTGAGACAGGAGAATTGCTTGAGCCTGGGAGGTGGAGGTTGCAGTGAGCCAAGATCGCACCATTGCACTCCAGTCTGGGTGACAGAGTGAGACCTTGTCTCAAAACAAAAAACAATAAACAAGAAAAGACAAATGTGAACCAAGTGATCACTGCTGAAGACAAACAAACTGCAAAATGCTGCAAAGAGAGGCTCACCCTCACAAGTGATCCAAGAACTGCAAAATAAAACGAGATACTATTTTTAACGCTATCAGATTGGCAAAAATGAAAGAGTGATCCTATTTAGTGTTGGCAAGAATGTAGGGAAAAAGGTGTTCTCACAGACCATTACTACAAGTAGGCATAAACACAGCTCTTCTCGAGGGCTGTTTGGTCATATCTATTAATATTTAATGTGCTCAAACCTTTGTGTAACAAAGTCCATTTTTCTGACTCAATCCTACACAAATATTTGTACAGAAGGACAGGATAAATGTGAGTCTTAAATCTTCAATGCAATCTTATTTGTAAGAGCAAAACAGTTTATGCAACATAAATGTCAGTAAGGGCTAAATTAGGCCAATTATTTACATGCAAAAATGGGATATTACAGAATGAAATGAAGACATGCACACATACATATACACACACACACACACAGAGAAATAGGTCTCGGCTGGGTGTGGTGGCTCACACCTGTAATCCCAGTACTTTGGGAGGCTGAGGTGGGAAGACTGCTTGAGGCCAGGAGTTCAAGACTAGC
This sequence comes from Homo sapiens, assembly GCF_000001405.40. Taxonomy (NCBI): domain Eukaryota; kingdom Metazoa; phylum Chordata; class Mammalia; order Primates; family Hominidae; genus Homo; species Homo sapiens. The sequence goes on from NC_000001.11 coordinate 54,869,709, forward strand.
CTTGGCAACATAGCAAGACCCCATCCCTACAAAAAAATTTTAAAAATTAAAAAATTAACCAGGCCGGGCACAGTGGCTCGCACCTGTAATCCCAGCACTTGGCTTGGGAGGCCAAGGCAGGCAGATCACCTGAGGTCAGGAGTTCGAGACCAGCCTAGCCAACACGGTGAACTCCATTTCTACTAAAAATACAAAAATTAGGCAGGCATGGTGGTGCATGCCTGTAATCCCAGCTACTTACGAGGCTGAGGCATGAGAATCGTGTGAACCTGGGAGACAGAGGTTGCAGTGAGCTGAGATCACGCGCTGCACTCCAGCCTGAGCGACGGAGTGAGACTCCATCTCAAAAAAAAAAAAAAAATTTTTAACTGGACATGGTGGCACACGCCTGTAGTCCCAGCTACTTAGGAGGCTAAGGCAGGAGGATTGCTTGAGCCCTGGAGTTCAAGGCTACAGTGAGCTGTGATCGTACCACTGTACTCCAGTCTGGGCTACAGAGACCCTGTCTCAAAAAAAAAAACAATAAGAAAATAAATAAATAAAAATAAATAGGTCTCGAAGAATGCACACAAAACTGTTATACGTAAGTGGTTACACCCTGGCGTAAAGAGATGCACTTTAACTTTTTCTTTATATATTTCAGCATTGTTACATTACTTTTATAATTTAAAAACTTTCAAAAAAATCCATACAGAGAAAGAGGAAATAAATACAGTTGTCTCTCAGTATCCATGGGGGATTTGTTCCAGGATCCCCCAAAATCCATGAATGCTCAAGTCCCTTACATAAAATGATTTAGTATTTGCATATAACCCTATGCACATCCTCCTGTATACTTTAAATCATCTCTAGATTTCTCACAATACTTAATACAATGTAAATGCTATGTAACAGTTAAGGAATAATGACAAGAAAAAAAGTCTGTCCATGTTCATTTCAGATGAAACCATCCGTTTTTTGGCCCCTGAACGCTTTCAATCTGCAGTTGGTTGAATCCACTGTTGTGGAACCCACAGATACAAGGGGCCAACTGTGTACCAAACACATTAGCAACACTGGCTTTGGGACATATTTACAGGTGGAGTCTTTTCTTTCCTTTTTACTTGTTTGTACCTTCCAAGTCTCTTACAATAAGCACAAATCCTTTCCAAGTCTCTTACAATAAGCACAAATCCTTTCTAAATGGAGAAAAAACTGCTAATAAAAATTGCATGGTATATGTGGAAGGAATGTCAATCTAGATTCCAAGGCATCAAATCGATTACTCGAATCTTGTGGAAGTTTACATTACCTCTTTTAAGTGTTGGGATTACAGGTGTGAGCCACTGTGCCCAGCCTACATTACCTCTTGAAGACTCAGTTTCCTCATCTATAAAATGGGTTTGCTATAAGGACCAAAGATTACATCCACTAAGAGACAAGCACATCCCAGGCAGGTGGTAGGGGCAGAGTAGATGAAAGCTTCCATCACTGTCTAATACATTTCTGATGATAGATCCTGTTGCCTGTACCCCAGGTGGGTTGACCCAGGCAGCAGCCTTGAAGAGGTGGCTGCCAGGGTCAGGATACGGGAACCGGCTCAGTCCTAGCACACTCATGCCTCCCCAGTCTTGGTCAGCAGCAGCTGACACCCTGGCTTACCTTGCTGGGCTCTGCCTCATCTGTCATGACCCCTGTCATAATGACAGCCTCATCCAGGGAGTAGAGCAGCCCTTCCACGAAGTGGTTCTCCTGCCGCTGGGACTCGTGGGTGAACTTGGCACAGATAGCCTCCAGGCCCCGCACTGGCTCGAAACGCAGCTTGACGTACTTCTTGGCAGGGATGATGCGGATCTCAGCGGCCACCAGGAAACCCAGCGTCCCACAGGACCAGGGTACGGCATAGAACAGGTCTGAGTTTTCGGACTGTGAGACAGAATTGATGTGTTGTGAGCTGAAACCTTGGGCCCCACATTGTGGCATGCAGTCAGTGGGGGAGCAAAGCCTGGGAGAGTCCCTATTCTCTCACTCTCTTGTATAAACCCAAACAATGAGCTTTACAAACTGTGCTTGCTGGGCTTTAGTTTCCTCCCTGCAGCTTCGACATGACATGGAACCTAATACTGCCCTCTGTCTCAGGGACCCTCACTGAGAGAGCATCCTCCTTCTCCCATCTAGGTACAGCCCCTGACCCAGAGGCTATTCAGGAAAAAGCTGGGACTGGCACTGCTGCCCAACGACCCACAATGGCAGGGGCATTGCACAAGGGCAGGAGTCCAAGGCCAGGCCTTGACACCCTTTAGTGGGTGTCAGGCAGTGTAGCTGGGGAACATTAAAATGCCTCCCTTCTGAACCATTACTAAAATTTACAAGGCCTTTCCCAGTCCATCGGCTTGTGGGATCCACCCCCGACAGAGCCCAGGGAGAGCGCTAGCACCCCCTTATGACAAGTAAAGAAACTGAGTCTCTCAGAGCTGCCATGACTCACCAAAGTCTTCCCAGAAAAGTCAGCTGCAGCAATGCCAGGGCTCAGGCAAGACCACCTAACTCCCCGGCCAGCGTTTTTCCTACAACACCTCATCTGCTTCCATAAATCAATGTCCAACCTCATCATTTTATTGTTTTGACATTTGTCTTGGACACAGACAACTGACTTTTCCTTGGCCATTCTGATTGGGATTCTTCAGTTCTAGTAAAGAAAGCTCTTTTGAAAAAGTCCAGCCATGTCTTGCCTTTACTAAGAGGACAGCCCTGTGCAGTCTCCACAAAACCTGAATGCTCTTGGTGGTGGGCACAGTGAATGCAGCAGGGCAGGAGAGCTGGAGCAAGGAGGCTCTGCAGCAGGCTGGCAGAAACCTCAGGAACAGCAGCACTACGCTCACCAATTCCCCCTTGGGCCCACAGCTAATCACATTCTCCTGGCCATGGCAGTGAAGATGACACACTTGCTGCATGCTGAGCTCTATGCAAGGAGCTTCCCATACAGGACCTACTTATTCCTCTCAACCACATATTTGTCAGTGAGGAACCTGGGCCTCAGAGAAGGGAAAGAATTCACAAATGTCAGTCTCCTTTCTCTGCCGATAATAAATAGGTCAAAAGACAGGGCCCCGCAAGCGTTCAGGAAAGCAGGATGAATTGATGTGAATCTTGCTAGGGGTATCTCTCATCCAAGACCAGTGCTGCCAAGCTGGGAGTCTTTCCTTGGGCCCTCTTCTGTGAAGTGAAGGAGTCGGGTGGCTCCCTGAAATACCCACTTCAACAGGACCAACTGTCCCTCCCATCCCAGGGGTCCCTCACACCTGCCAGGACAGATCCAAGGTTATTTAAAGTGTCACTCCTATCCCACCCCTTAGGTAAAACGCTTTAAATGTTTGAATCCCAGTTTGGGTGGTAGAAGTGTTTCTTATTTTTCTAAAACATCCTCTCTAATCACTTTTACTTACACGATTACGTGCTACATAAAGACGTTGCAGTCAACAATGGGCCACAGATAAAATGGTGGTCTCATAAGATTATAATGGAGCTGAAAAAGTCCTGTTGCCTAGTGGTATCACTGCTATCACAGCTATCCTAATGTCATACTCATGTGTTTATGGTAACACTGGTGTAAGCAAACCTACTGTACTGCCAGTTGTATAAAAGTATAGCACATATAATTATGTACACTACATAATACTTGATAATGATAAATGACTCTGTCATTGGTTTATGTATTCACTACACTACACTTTTAATTGTTATTTTAGAGTGTACTCTTTCTGCTTATTAAAAAAAAGTTAACTGTAAACAGCATCAGGCAGGTCCTTCAGGAGGTATTCCAGAAGAAGGCATTGTTGTCAGAGATGACAGCTCCATGTGTGTTATTGCCCCTGAAGACTTTCCAGTGGGACAAGATGCGGAAGTGGAAGCGTTATTGATAATCTTGACTCTGTGTAGGCCTAAACTAACATGCGTTTATGTCTTGACCTTTTTTCTTTGAGACAGGGTCTTGCTCTGTCACCCAGGCTAGAGTGCAGTGGCGTAATCACGGCTCACTGCAATCTCTGCCTCCCAGGCTCAAGTGATCCTCCTGCTGCAGCCTCCACAGTAGCTGGAAATACAGGAACACATCACCATGCCCAGCTAATTTTTGTATTGTTTGTAGACCATGTTGTAGGCCATGTTGCCCAGGCTGGTCTCAAACTGCTAAGCTCAAGCAGTCCACCTGCCTTGGCCTCCCAAAGTGCTGGTATTACAGGAGTGAGCCACTGCACCCAGCCTTGTGTCTAAGTTTTTAACAAAAAAACTTTAACAAGTTAAAAAAAAAGTTTAAATAGAAACAAGCTTATAGAATAAGGATATAAAGAAGGAAACTATTTCTGTACACCTGTACAATGTGTTTGCATTTTAAGCTAAGTGTTATTACAAGAGTCAAAAGTTTTTAAAAAGTTTATAAAGTAAAAATGTTATAGTAAGCTAACAGTATTTATTATTGAAGAAAGAAAATTTCAAAAAATAAATTTAGTGTAGCCTAAGTGTACAGTGTTTATAAAGTCTACAGTGGTGTACAGTAATGTCCCAGGACTTCACATTCACTCACCACTCACTCACTGACTCACCCAGAGCAACTTCCAGTCCTGCAAGCTCCATGCATGGTAAGTACGCTACATAGGTGTACCATTCATCTTTTATACTGTATTTTTACTGTACCTTTTCCAAGTATAGGTATGTTTAGATACATAAATACCATTGTGTTACAGCTGCCTACAGTATTGAGCACAGTACCATGCTGTATAGGTCTGTAGTCAAGGAGTAGTAGGCTATCCAAATAGCCTACGTGTGAAGTAGGCTATCTCATCTAGGTTTATGTAATTACACTCTTATGATGTTTGCACAATGACAAAATTGCCTACAACTTGTTTCTTATAACATATCCCTACTGTTCTGTGACACATGACTGTACCTCACAGTGTTAAGACACACAGCTTTGATGCCAAGGCCTGACTTCCTCTCCAGAGAGGCAGGATGGCATAATGAACGGCTAAGGGACCTGGGAGCCTGATTACTGGGGTGTGAGTCCCAGCTGTGTGACCTATGGCAAATAATCTCTCTGAGCTTTAGTTTCCTATCTATAAAATAGGGATAATAATCCTTCTATTATTTAATAATAATCTATAAAATAGGGATAATAAACCTCCCTCATTAGGTTGTTGAAGGATAACATGCATGCCTTAATATATATAATGGATTTACAACATTGCCTAAGCTCATATAAGGGGCTACACAAATTTTTGTTTACAGATATAGACCCAGACTGAACAGGTACTGGGAATGAAGCACACCTAGAGGAGCCACCTCCCTGACCTCAGGATCCTTAATGCCCAGAGCAGGCTGGCATGGACATCTCCCATTGCTGAACTCACCGGAGTGCATCGCACAAAGCTGCCATCAGCCAGGACCAGCTCGTAAGCAGTGCAGATGTGTTGGAACAGGCCGTACTTGTGGGATGATGACTCGATGCCTGTGCCCATGATCAAGCCCCCTGCAGAGACATCACACACAGTGTCAGCAGGGAGAGCTGTGGGTACAGGGTTGGGGGTGGGTTGGAGCTGGGGGGCCTCCTAGCATGAGGGAGGTTTGGCAGGCTAGCAGAAATGGGGCTGTTGACTTAGGGGAGATTTCCCACCTGTCAATCTAGAGAGCAGGAGAGGGAAGGAGGGGCTCAGATGGGAGCATGAGGGTGTCCTTAGAGGAAGGGAGTGGCGAGCAGACCTTGTCAAGTGTACTCACACCTCACCTCTGGCCAGACTCAACCTAGAAATCTGTGTGCATTCATCTTGAGAGGGACTTTAATGAAAAGGGGGGTTGAAGGGGTGACAGGAAGCCCTGTCCCATGGGAATAGTTAAAAGAACTGAAGGTGTTTTCCCTGAAGAAGAAGAGGCTTTGGGGGCTATGAATCCTATGGGAGGAGAAGAGAGACTATACTTATTCTGTGTGTTCCATGGGGGGGAATTGGAGCAATGGGAACAAGTCACAGGGAAGCAGATTCAAACCAGAAATTAAAAGTGCCTTCTGATAACTTGAGCTGCTCAGAAATGGAACAGCAGGCAGTGAACACCCTGTCATTGGAGCAGGCAAGTAAGAGACTGAATGACTTCTGTCACAGATGGAATAGCGGCAATTCCAGGACTAGATGGAGGGTGGCCAAGGCCCATCAGCTCCGGTCCTAGGACCGTGTGTCTCTTCTTGCCCGTTAATATAGGGTCCTCACCCACTGTGAGGTCATCAAGCTCAGGCAACACGGGGAGAGTCCAGCCAATGGAGGTCAGCAGGGCAGTCACCTGGCCCATGGTCACCAAGGGCTCCACACGGACAATCTGTTGACACAAGAAAAGAGACCCTGGGTCAAAAGGAGGCTGCCAGGCCCAAGGGGAGCTGCTGCACACAGAAGGTGTCATCTCAAACCTTCCCAAACACTCACTGCAGGGATTCCTATATAGCCTTTACAGGCTCTTTCTAGAACATTGCCTTTAATTACAGGGAATGTGATTTCTGGCTCTCGGTTAGCTAGTGTTCAACCTCGCCCTTCAAGTATCTTTATACTAAATATTTGACTTAACCTTTTCTAAATTACAGGAGAAATACTCATTCACTTAGAAGATACAGCAAAAGTGAAGAAGAAAACAAAAATCACCCATCCTGGCTGGTCGTGGTGACTCATGTCTGTAATCCCAGCACTTTGGGAGGCCAAGGCAGGTGAATCATCTGAGTTCAGGAGTTTGAGACCAGCCTGGCCAACTTGGTGAAACCCTGTTTCTACTAAAAATACAAAAATTAGCCAGGCGTGGTGGCGGGCACCTGTAGTCCCAGCTGCTTGGGAGGCTGAGGCAGGAGAATCACTTGAACCTGGGAGGTGGAGGTTGCAGTGAGCCGAGATCGTGCCACTGCACTCCAGCCTAGGCAACAGAGTGAGACTCCGTCTCAAACAAACAAAAAAAAAATTCACCCTTCCTAGTTCTTCAGAATTACTAATGTTAATAACACAGTGTATTTACTTTGGTTTTTTTTTCCCCACACATACTGTATTGGTACTGTGAACCGCAAATATCAGAGACAGGTCTCAGTTAATCCAGAAAGTTTATTTTGCCAAGATTGAGGATGTGCGCCTCTGATACAGCCTCAGTACGTCCTGACAACATGTGCCCAAGGAGGCTGGTGCACAGCTTGATCTTACACATTTTAGGGAGACAGAACACATCAATCAATATATGTAAGAAGTATAGTGGTTCTGTCCAGGAAGGCGGGGACAACTTGAAGCAGGGAGAGGGCTTGCGGTCACAGGTAGATAAGAGACAAATGGCTGCATTCTTTTCAGTTTCTGATAAGCCTTTCCAAAGGAGCTAATCAGAATATGCATCTATCTCAGTGAGCAGAGGGATGACTTTGAATAGAATGCGGAAGCAGGTTTGTCCTGAGCAGTTCCCAGCTTGACTTTTCCCTTAGTTTAGTAATTTGGGGGCCCCAAGATTTTCCTTTCACACTATTTTGTATGTTTTAAACACAACACACACAAACCAAAAGCATATCTCATTTTCTGTTTTGCCTTTTTAAAATTTAACACTATACTATGACCATCATCTCTTATCATTACACATTCTTGGAACACATGATTTTTAATGTATACATCCCTTGGACTTCTACTTCTAGCCGAAGTGGAATAACAGGAACCACATTTACCCTGCTGCCTGAAAAAAAAACCTGACAAAATATATGAAATAAGAGTTTTCAATGCAGTGGACATAAACAATTAAAGTTAGTGATCCCTCAGAGACAGGAAACAAGGTGAGCTCTGAGGCGGGAGGACTGCTTGAGGCCAGGGGTTCGAGACCAGCCAGGACAACATAGCAAGACCTAAAAATAAAAAAATAAAAAATTATTTTAAAAAAAGGTGAGCTCTAGGGATGGCCCATTTAACTGCCTGGAGTTAGGCAGTGCAGGGAGGGAAACCCAGGTGGTGGAGTCCAGTGGACTTTCTAAGAGTTAAAAAGATGGAGGTGAGGCTGGGCATGGTGGCTCACGCCTGTAATCTCAGCACTTTGGGAGACCGAGGTGGGTGGATCACCTGAGGTCAGGAGTTCAAGACCAGCCCGACAACATGGCAAAAACCTCCCTCTGCTAAAAATACAAAAAATTAGCTGGGTGTGGTGGCAAGCGCCTGTAATCCCACTTACTCAGGAGGCTGAGGCAAGAGAATCACTTGAACCCATGGAGGTTGCAGTGAGCCAAGACTGTACCACTGCACTCCAGCCTGGATGACAGGGCGAGACTCTGTCTCAAAAAAAAAAAAAAAGAGGTGAGAGTTCCAGAAGACCAAGGTGAATACAGTGTGCAGGACAGAGTACTGGAGAGGAGAGAGTTGCACAGAGAAAAAACTGAAGAAATGCAAAAGGCGTCCTTGGGAATTCAACTGAGTACTAATCGGTAAATACACATGAGGCTATTACCTGAGGCTGAAGCCAGGGAAAAAACTGCCAGAAAAGACAACAGGTAATAGGCTAGGCATGGTGGCTCATGCCTATAATCCCAGCACTTTGGGAGGCCAAGGCAGGTGGACCACCTGAGGTCAGGAGTTTGAGACCAGCCTGGCCAACATGATGAAACCCCGCCTCTGCTAAAAAAAAAAAATACAAAAAATTAGCTGGGCGTGGTGGTGGGTGCCTGTAATCCCAGCTACTCAGGAAGCTGAGGCAGGAGAATCACTTGAATCCGGGAGGCGGAGGTTGCAGTGACCCGAGATTGCACCACTGTACTCCAGCCTGGGCAACAAGAGTGAAACTCTGTCTCAAAAAAAAAAAAAAAAAAAAAAAAAAAAAGATAATAGGTAATAGTACCAGGGACTCACACAGGGCAGGAGATAGTGTCTGTTCCCACAAGCCAGACTAGAAAACTTGATGATTCACAGGGCACTGTGTAGAGTACTCAAAATGATCTTGCCTCATAATAAACTCAAGATTAAATACTTCCCTGGCCCCATCTAAAAAATTGAGACCCAGTGGGATCAAACTATTTCCAAGTAACTTAGCTGCCTCCTAGAGCAAAACTCAAAATTTATAGGAACATAAAAATACCCAGCTCCCCAAAAGGTAAAATGTCAGAGTATCACAATGTCAGAATCCAATAGAATTTTACCAGGCATACAGAGGCAGAAAAATTCAACCCATAATGAGAAAAATCAATCAATCAAACAGACCCAGAACTGACATAGATATTAGAATTAGTGAACAGGGACATCAAAACATTTATAATAACTATATTCTCTATATTCGAAAATTTAACTAGAGACATTAAGAATATATTAAAAAGATCCGGCCAGGTGCAATGCCTCACACCTGTAATCCCAGTGCTTTGGGAGGCCAAGCCAGGCAGATCACCTGAGATCAGGAGTTGAAACCAGCCTAGCCAACATGGCGAAACTCCGTCTACTAAAAATACAAAAAAATTAGCCAGGCGCGGTGGTGCGCATCTGTAATCCCAGCTACTCGGGAGGCTGTGACAGGAGAATCGCTGGAACCCAGGAGGTGGAGGTTGCAGTGAGCCGAAATCACGCCACTGCACCCAGTCCAACCTGGAGGACAGAGCAAGACTCCATCTGAAAAAAAAAAAAAAAAAAAAAAAAAAAAAATCCAAATCAAACTTCTGGAAATGAAAACCACAATGTCTGAAATGAAAGATACAATGGATGGCACTAATAGCAAATTAGAAATCGCAGAAGAAAAGATTAGTTAACTTAAATACACAGCAACAGAAACCAACCAAAATGAAAGAGAGGAAAAAAATTTCTTTTAAATGAACAGTGCCTCAATGACCTGAGCTGTAGAACAACTTGAAATGGCCTAGCTGTCTCTAAACTAGATGAGAAAAAGGAGGGGACAGAAAAACAGATGAAGAAATAATGGCCCCCAAATTTCCTGATTTGATGAAAAATTATGCCAAATTCCAAACAAGAATTATGAATAAAACTATACCAAAGCACATCATAATAAAATTGCTCAAAACTAGTGATAAAAAATCAACATACTTCTAAATAATCCATGGGTCAAAGCAGACATCAAAAGGGAAATCAAAGTATTCTGAACTGAAATAAAAAGAAAACATATAGAAATTTGTGAGCTGCCTCTAAAACAGTGCTTAGGGGAAAATTTATAGCACTAAACATTTATATTAGAAAAAAAAGGTCTAAGTCAATGACTTAAACTTTAACCTTAAAAAACTGGAAAAAGAGTAAAATTAAACCCAATGTAAGAAAAGAAATGAAATAATAAAGACCAAAGCAGAAATCAATGAAATTGAAAACAACACACACACACAAAGGGAAAAATCAATGATATCAAAGCTAGCTTTTGAGAAGATCAATAAAATTCAATAGCCTTTAGCCAGACTGTTCAGGAAAAAAAGAGAACAGAAACAAAATACCAGTATCAAGAACGAAAGACCTGACATAGCTACAGATATCTAAAGGAAGTATTGTGAACAACTTTATGTCAATAAATTATACAACTTAGTGAAATGGACAAATACCTTTGAGACACAAACTACCAAAGCTAACCCAAGAAGAAATAAATAAACTGAAGAGCCCAGTACCTATTAAAGAAATTGAATTTGTGCTTAAAAACTTCCTTACAAAGAAAACTCCAGGCCCAGAGAGCTTCACTTTAAGGTTTCTATAAAAATTCTACAATAAAATATAGGAGAAAGCCTTTCTGACATTGGATAGGCAAAGATTTCCTAAATAAAATATCAAAATGCAAAGTAGGCCAAGCGCGGTGGCTCACGCCTGTAATCCCAGCACTTTGGGAGGCCAAGGTAGGTGGATCATTTGAGGCCAGGAGTTCGAAACCAGCCTGACCAATGTGGTGAAACCCCCTCTCTATTAAAAATACAAAAATTAACCAGGTGTGGTGGTGTGCACCTGTAATCCCAGCTACTTGGGAGGCTGAGGCACAAGAATTGCTTGAAACCGGGAGATGGAGGTTGCCGAGAACTGAGATAGCACCACTGCACTCCAGCCGGGGCCACAGAGCTAGACTCTGTCTCAAAAAACAAAAATATAAACAAACAAACAAACAAACAAACAAAACCCCCACAATGCATAAAAGAAGAAATTAACAAATTGGGAAAAATTAAAACTTCTGATTTGGCCAGGCGTGGTGGCTCACGCCTGTAATTCTAGCACTTTGGGAGGCCAAGGCAGGCAGATCACCTGAGGTCAAGAGTTTGAGACCAGCCTGGCCAACATGGTGAAACCCCGTCTCTACTAAAAATACAAAAAATTAGCTGGGTGTGGTGGCACATGCCTGTACTCCCAGCTACCCAGGAGGCTGAGGCAGGAGAATCACCGGAACCTGGGAGGCGGAGGCTGCAGTGAACCAAGATCGTGCCACTGCACTCTAGCCAGGGCGACAGAGTGAAACTCTGTCTCAAAAAGAAAAACTAAATAAAGCTTCTGGTTTTCAAAAGAGAAGCCACAGACTGTGAGAAAATATTTGCAAATCATGAATCTAATAAAGGATGTTGTTTCAGGGTCTAATATCCAGCATCAATAAGGAACTTAAACAAACTTACAAGAACAAAACAACCCCCATTAAAAAGTGAATATAAAAAGGACATGAACAGACACTTTTCAAAAGACAAGCATGTGGCCAAGAAGCATATGAAAAAAAGCTCAACATTACTGATAATTAAAGAAATGCAAATCAAAACCACAATGAAATACCATCTGACACAGTCAGAATGGCTATTATTAAAAAGTCAAAAAATAACAGATGCTGGTGAAGTTGCAGAGAAAAAGGAACATTTATACACTGTTGGTGGGAGTGTAAATTAGTTCAACCATGTGGGAGACAGTGTGGTGATTCCTTAAAGACCAAAAAACAGAAGCAGCATTTGACCCAGCAATCTCATTACTGGGTATATATACCCAAAGGAATATAAACCATTGTATCATAAAGACACATGCATGTGTATGTTTACTGCAGCACAACTCACAATAGCAAAGACATGGAATCAACTTAAATGCCCATCAGTGGTAGACTGGATAAAGAAAATGTGGTACGTATACACCATGGAATACTATGCAGCCATGTTCCTTTGCAAGAACATGGATGCAGCTGGAAGCCATTATCCTTAGCAAACTAATGCAGGAACAGGAAACCAAATACCGCATGTTCTCACTTATAAGTGGGAGCTAAATGATGAGAACACATGGACACATACAGGGGAACAACAGACACTGGGTCCTATCAGAGGGTGGAGGGAGGGAGAAGGGAGAGGATCAGGAAAAATAACTAATAGGTACTAGGCTTAATACCTGGGTGATGAAATAATATGTACAACAAACCCCATGACACACGTTTACCTATATAACAAACCTGTACAGGTACCACTTAATTTAAAAGTTTAAAAGAAAAAAAAAAAAGATGTTTCCAGAATATATAAGAAAACCACCTGAATTTTTTTAAATTGGCAAAAGATTTGATCAGGCCTCACCAAAGAAGATATACAAATAGCAAACATGCACATGGAAAGATCATTAGTCACTAGGGAAATGTGAATTAAAATTACAATGAAAAACTACTACACATCTATTAGAATGGCTAAAATTAAGACTAACCATATCAAGTCTATTACAATGTGGAACAAGAACAACACTCACGCTGCTGGTGGAAATGTAAAATGCTACAATCACTTGGAAAAAAAATTTGGCACTTCCTTAAAAAGTTAAATGTACACCCACCTTATGATCTAGCCATTCCATTCCTAGATATTTGCCCAAGAGAAAGGAAGGCATGTGCCCATACAAAGACTGTTCACAAATGTTCCATTTTATTTGTAATTGCCCCAAACTGGAGCCAGCCAAAATGTCCATCAGTAGGTGAATGGATAAACCAGCTGTGATACATCCACACAATATGTGTGGGAATATGACTCAGCAGTGAAAGAGAATGAACTATTGACACACCTTTCAACATGGATGAATCTCCAAATAAAGATGTTGAGTGAAAGAGGCTAGACAAACAAAAAGTACTGTATGATTCCATTTATATAAACTCTAGAATCAAACTAATTTATAGTGGCAGAAAGGTCATTGTTTGCCTAAGGCTGTGGGGGGCGGGTAGGGGAAGAGGCAGGGCTAGGGGCTAGAGGAAGGGATTACCAAGGAGCATGAGGAGATTTTGGGGTGTGATGGGTATGTTTGTTGTCTTGATTGTGGTAAGAGTTTTACCACACTTTAAATACGTCAATAAAGCTATTAAAAAAAATGGCACAGAGAGATTAAGTAACTTGGCCAAGGTCTCACAATAATAACAAAATGCCATCAAGTAGACATACCATATTTAATGACTACCCTATTATTGGATATTGTGTTGTTGTCAATTAGAAATAAAGCTGTGATATAATCACTCTGTGTTGGGTATCTTTATACTGAAGCCTATTTCCTTTTTCCTTAAGCCAGGTTTCGAGAAGTAAAATTACTAGATGGGCCAAAAAGTATGTACATTTCGAAGGCTATTAAACAAGAGGGTTTCCAGGAAGCTTGTAACAAGACCCATGTCTCTCAGTCACTTCTGTAGCCCATTTTTTACCAGCACACTTCCTTATCAGGAAGGGGTAAGTAGATTCCTTTTTGCCTCTCATTTTTGCTCACGAATTCCCCATTCCTGACTTCCTGTGGAAACGCAAAGGGTTCCCCTGACCTATTATGACCCATCTCTCCCCTGGTGGCTGTGAGGCTTGAGGACAGCAATGGCAGGGAGTATCTTCTATGACTGTGGGCATTGGTCCTGTCCACTCTGCAATGCCCTTGGCTAAAATCATCTCCCTATGAGTCACTTGCACCAGGGGCAGTGCCCCACCTGCTCCCAGAGCCCGGAAAAGTGCTACTCTCACCTGTTTCTTGGTGTCCACTTCCAGAATGTCCATCAGGTTGATCATGATGTTTTTGTGTGTCTTCTTGTACTTCCCGACACGTAGTGAGACAGTGAGCCAGCCAGGGCGCCCCGTGCACATGAAGGTCTTGCTACCCTGCTCCTTCCATTCCCGCACCTGCAACCACAGGACAGAGGGTGAGCTGGCCCCACTGGGAATCCCCAGAGCAGCCTGCAGCCCTGCTTTCTTCAAGGGCGAGCTGGGAATGATGCCTCCATCAGGCACTGGAGAAACAGAACAATGAAAAGGCCTGCTGGCCCTACCCTCTGGCACCTCCCTGGCCAGCAAGGCTGACAGAAAAGCCAACATATTGCTACACCACAAGGCAGAATGATGAAAGAGCTAGAAGAGAGGATCGAAGTGTTCTGAAAACATTAACTCTAGCTGGGAAGTTCAGAAAAGGTTTTGTAATGGTGATAATAGCAAGTATAAAAATGAGGACCATTTACTGGGTATTCCCAACACACTAGGCATCTACTGCACACTGTCTTGTGTAATTCCTACAACAGTCCCAGGAAGTTACGATGACACCCTTTTTTCGAGGATAAGGAAACTCAAAAGCAAAATAACTTGTCCAAAGTCACACAATTGGTAAATGGCAGAGCTGAGATTCATAGCCAGGACTGTTTGACTTCAGGACAGGAAAGATAGATGGAGTTGTGGTAACAGTTCACAGGGTAATAGCTAACACGTATGGAGGCTTATCACATGCCAAGGCCTGTTTAAACATTTGTATATGTTAACTCATGCATCACTTTGAGGGGAAGAGGAGGAGCAGGGAAGGACCACCAAGCCAATGGAAGGAAGAGGTTTTACAAAACCTCTAAGGTAAGTGACCAGAGCACAAAACACAGAACAAATGGCCCATGGATGACAAGCCCATCAGAAATGCAGGAGGAAGTGTTTCTTTTCTGCTGAGATAGACAAGTGCAGGGGGGGTGGATATTTGTCATTTTGACCTGTGACCATCCATTTCCTCTTCATCCACTTCTAACAATCCCCATCTTCCTTTGGTCCAAGTGAGACTGATTCTACTCCCCTACCCCAGGAGGTGGGTACATGACTGAGGACTGATTCTATACTTCTGGCCAGAGACAGATTAATGACATCTCATTAAGTCAAGCCAATGAGACCAGTTCCAGGACAGCCACTCTCTCTTTACTGGGGTCGCTAAGCCGGTTGGATATGAGCCAGAAACTGTTGGGGCCTCTGCAGGGAGAGAGGCTCCAGAGAATGAAGTCAACCTAGAAAAGCAGGGCCAACAGATGGCAGAGGGATGGACAGATGGAGATGGGGGACAGAGGATCCTGGATCCAGCCATGCCTGATCCAGTTGTACTCCCAGACTTTTCAGGACCTGAGCCAATAAAATCCCTTTTTGCTCAAGTCAGTTTGAATTGAGCTTCTTTCACTTGCAACCAAAAGTCTGGTCAAATACTGGTCAGGTCTCCTGGAGAAGGCTGCACTGGAGCTGGCTAGGCAAACAGCTCAACACGGGGAAGGACTTTTCTTTGATCAGAGGCCAGGGCAGGTATTAAGGAAGAGATTCCTGTGATTTGGGGGAAAAGGGATGATAGGTAGGATTCCACGACCAACCAGGTCTCGTCCCTGCCTGAATCTGCAGCCACGGAGTTTGACACAAGCCCAGAGATGGGAGGGAGTGATTAGGGGTGCTGCACTGAAGCTGGAGGCCAAACAGAGAGCCCAGAAAAAAGGGCAACTAGGTCAGACAGCTATTACAAGCCAGGTGTGAGGCAACTGAACCAGACCTATAGGGGGGAAGGGAAAGCCTGGGAAAGAAGAAATGTCAGAGTTCAGGCTCTGAAATCGAGCTAACCTAGGTTCTAGCCCCATTTACTGACTAGTCTTCCTGAGCACATGACTCACACTCTGAAACTCAATTTTCCCTGTTTGTAAGATAGGCACAAGATCTACCAGGGTTGCTGTGAGGATGGCAATGGCACATGGCAGGTCTGGGGTAGAGGCTAGTCCAGCTGGGCCCCTGTTTTCCTGCTCACAGTGAATCTTGTGGCTTAGCCAAGATTAATAGGCACTCGCTAGGCTGTTTTGAGCCAGGCCCTATGGGCCACAGGCGAGTCACATAACAGTCCCTGCATTCTAGGAGCTCACAGTCTGACAGGGGAGACAAGCAGGTAAATGGAGAATTTGAACTCGAGAAAAGAGCTAGGAAACAGGGTGCAGGTGGGGAGGGAGGACACGCAGAGGCTCTGGAGCCATGACTGTGACCAGCAAAATCCAGAGCTACAGGGCAAAGCACTTCCAGACACTGCGTTCTCCCACCAGGCCCCAGGTCTTATGCCTCATGGGAACGTCTCTCCGCATCCATCTTCATGCTCTTGCCTGAAGCACCCAGCGCGGAGCAAGCAGAATATGGAGGCTGCTACACCTACGGAAGGGTGGCAGCAGGAAACAGAAGCTCTCTGCAACCTGATGCCAACAAGAGAGGAACATAAAGAGAAGCAGAGGGAGTCAAGAAACTGCCCAAGTCCCTGGATGCAGAGGAGGCTCCACTGTGAGCCACAGCAGGTCACAGGCTCCGTGGGTGCCTGAGGAACTGAGAGATGGACCGACTGCCTTTGTCAAGGAGTGAGCCCTCCGTCAGCAGAGGCTGTGAGGTTCTTCCCTCCCGCTTCTGGGCTGGGTTCTACCTTCTTGCTTTAGTCTTCTATCCTAAACCCAATCAAAAGCGTCTTGCTGTACAAAATAAAGTCCAAACTCGGCCTTGGCATCAAGGCCCCTCTCCAGCCTAGCACCAAACGGACTTTTCCGACGTTCTCCCGCCCCTGCCCTGCACTTGTCGGCTTCCCAGCATTTGCTCACACCAGTCCCTCCACCCACACACCTTCCCCCAATCATTTCCCATACTTCCCAATCTCTAGACCCAGCTCCACCTCCCGGAAGCCTTTCCTTCTCTGAAATGCTTGGGCCGGGTGAGAGTTACCTGAGTGCTTCGCACCTCCCCCTCTTCCCCTTCTTCATCTCCCTCCAGGTACCCGCATATGCCCTGCACACAGTGGGCACTTTGCCTGTTCTGTTCCCCCGCCCCCATCACATTTTTGTTTCGTTCCAACCCCTCTCCAACGCCAGCTCCCCACCCCCCCAGGAAGTCCTGGCCGCCCCCGCACCGCAGCTCCCGTCGCCACCTCGCGTCCCGCTATCCCCGCGCACGCCGCCTCCGGCCCTGAGTCCCGGCCGCACCCGGCGCCGCTCACCTGCTTCTGGATGTCCCGCACGCGCTGCTCGTGCAGGCGCGGAGCGCTGCTGAGCTTGAACACCACCCAGGCGCGCACGTAGTAGTAGATATCGAAGATAAGCGAGAGCGGCAGGAGGAAGAGGCACACGAACACCCAGCGCTGGTGGATGAGCACGAACTCCAGCCCCTTCAGGCGCACCCACAGCAGGAAGAGCAGCGCGCACACGGCCAGCGACACGGCGGGCTCCATGGTGCGGCGCCGCGCGGTAAGCGCTGCGGGTTCGCGCCTCCTGTCACTGCCGCCAGCTCCGCGCCTGGCCCGCTCTGCGCCTGTAGCCCACAGCCCGGGGAGCCCGGGATCGCCCGCCGCCTCGCGATTGGCTCGGGTCGCCGAGGTTCGGTGGGCCGAGACCCGGGCGGCGACCAATGGCGAGCCGCGCCGGGGATCGGACCAGGAACCCGCAGCTTTCATTGGCTGCGGGAGTCGGACCGCTCCACCCTTTTCTCCCCGCCGCCGCGCGAGGCGGGGGTGCCAGGGACTGGGTGCCGGTGGGGTCCGCTGCGAATACTGGGGGTGGGCAGTTGGGACTCAGGGCCCCAGGCCCTCGGGGCTGCGGGGCCGCCTCTTCCAAACGCGCCTTAAGCGGTTTTGCAGTGGCTTTCCGCCGGAGGGCTGGGAGGCGCCCCGGCCCTGAGTCAGTCACCCTTTGGCCGGACAGGCGGTTCCCGGGCGCGGAGGATGGAAACCTGGCGGTAACCTCTGCAGGTCGTGCCACTCGGTGTGCGCAAGGTCTCCAGAGGCATCTTTTCATTTTTAGGGGGCACTTTCCACGAATTCATTTGAGCTACACAGCAGTCCTGGGCAGTGGGGAGTGGTGAGCTCCATTGTGTACACTTGGAAGCAGCCCAGAAAGGTGAAGACCTGTTCGTGAACTCCAGAGGCCATTGGAAGCATGGAAGGCTATGGCTGGCACTCTTCCTCTTTTTCCAGTTCACTGAGGCAGATGGGAGGCCCGGAGGAGAAAGAATGAAGGAAGGCATTTCAGCCCGAGTAAACTCCCCAGGCCCGCTCTGTGCCAGGCAGTGTTGCAAGCCTCGGGTAGGGTGGTGAGCAAAGCAGATGGCCCTGCCCTCACTCAGCAACCAGTGTAGGGGAGCTGCCACGGTTACCAGCAAAAGCTGAAATCCAGCGCCATTTGCATTTCATATGGAATTTTAGGAAGTTTTCGAGATGTTTTAGTTTAGAAGCTAAACATGACATACCAGGTTCTTCTCTGTCTGGCCTTGCATACCTATCCAGTTCCCTCTCCATTCATCTCTGCCCTGACATGCACTCAGGAGGCTCCCTGGGCCTCAGCATTCCTCATTTGCGCGCCTCTGGTCAAGCTAGTACCTCTGAATGCCCTTTCCCATCCCCTTCTCAGAGTTCACCTCACACATTCCGAAGCCAGCTCAGGGCCACCTCTGAAACATTTAGAGCACTCCCCTGCCCATCCAGATGCTCATTAAATAGTGTGCATCTCTGTCACCGTTCTTTCATGTTATTTTATAATTGTCTCTTTATGTGTCTCTCACCCCCACAGACTGAGCCTTAGGGCAAACAATGTCTTGTTCACTTTTGTCCTTCCAGCTTCTAGCACGGTGCTTTGTGCACAGTAAACACTCCAGCGGCTGTTGACCAATGAATGAATGAAGATTGTAGGCTCAAATATTCAAGTTATCAAAGTGCAAAGAATGAGAGGTTGTTTGCACTGGACTTCAAAAATAAATAGCCTGGACCTGTACTGTCTTACACAACAGCTATGAGCTACTGGTATGTGGCTAGTCCAAACTGAAATGCCCTTTAAGAGTAAAACACACACTGGATTTCAAAGACTTAGTACAAAGAAAAAATGCAAAATAGCTCATTAGTAATTTTTATGTTAATGACATGTTGAAATAACATTTTGATATATTAAGTAAAATATAGTATTAGAATTAATTTCACCTGTTTTATTTACTTTTTTAAGGTGGCTACTAGAAAATTTAAAATTACAGATTTGTCTTGTATTACATCTCTAGAAGCTCCAACCAACAGGGGGACAGTGAAGTATGAAGAGGAAAGCCAATGTGAAAAATGCCTCTCCCCGATTCTGTCTGACTCTGTTAAAGAGGGCTTTGCTTTAGAAGCTTAACCATTCTGATTATTTTGGGGGTGTGAGGTAATCTGGAAAGTAAAATTTACCTAAAAATTAACTGAAGAGTGTTGTGTAGGAGAAACAGTGGAAATTACTGGTTAATCAGAATAGTTTTATACTTGGGAAGAGAAGGATGGAGTCCCAGAAAGTAGATACAACTGATCTTTAGGAAACAACTCCCAAAAAAGGAAAGGAATAAAAAAGTACTCAGGCTGGGTGTGGTGGTTCATGCCTGTAATCTCAGCACTTTGAGAGGCCAAGAGGGGCAGATTGCTTGAGCCCAAGAATTCAAGACAAGCCTGGGCAACATAGCAAGACCCTGTCTCTAAAAAAAAAAAAAAAAGAATAAAAAAAAAAGCTGGGCATTGTGGCATGCACTTGTAGTCTCAACTACTCAGGAGGTTGAGGTGGGAGGACCGATCACTTGAGCCTGGGAGGTCAAGGCTGCAGTGAGCCATGATCACGCCACTGCATACTAGTGTTAGCAACAGGCTGTCTCAACAACAAAAAAGTGAAAAAGTACTCAGAACAATTGTTTATTCAGTGTGCACGTTTCTCATTCTCTCTTCCTGCCTACCCTCCTCATATTTCTGATTCTTCTTTTCTGTCTCCCCAAACTCTAATCCTTTGGGTTGCTTTTATCCAGGTAAGGAAAGCAGTCACTTGAGTTGAGCCAATCAATTAATTAATTTTTTAAGTTAACATATAGTAAAACTGCTTAATCTTTGTACAGCTGATGAATTTTAGCATGATGAGGATTCCTGTAACTACTACCACAATGAGGATACAGAATAGTTCCACCACCCCAAAAAACTCCCTCTGCTGCCCCTTTGTAGTCATACTCTCCCCTACCTCCTAGCCCCTGGCAATCATTGCCCTGTTCTGTCACTATAGTTTTGTTTTTTTTCCAGAAGGTCATATGAATGGAATCATATGATATATAACCTTGGACCTACTAATTTTTGCTGGAGTCAAAGCAGCTTCCTTTGTCAGGGAATCTATTCATATTATACATTACTTACAGAGTTGATGGAGCATGCAGACAGTCAGAATGCTTAGGAATAGGATGTTCTGGGCAAGAACTTTTCAGGTTAACTAGGTAAACCCCTTTTATAGTTTGACCACGTAGCAATCTTTCTACAATGTGAGCCTCTATTTCTTTCTTAATAAATAGAGTGTAAAGAACAGTTTTTTTTTTCTTCAGTAAAGGAGCATGATAAATACCAGAGTCCTAACAAATTGCATTTTCTTATATTTGTACAGTGCAGCTACTGAGATCATTTGATCTTTGCAACCAGTCTCAGGAGTGGCAATGCAGGGAATTAATATGTATTTTTTTTTAAATAAATGGGGACATTTAGACTCAGGTTAAGTGACTTACCTGATCAATGTCTTATTCTGGTGAATAGAGAATTCTAATGCAGTTGGTCTGCAAACTACACTTCACACAATAATCAAGGGAGCAGATTCAAATGATGGAAAGATCCAGAAGTTGGGAGCCATTCATGTGGTTCCGTTCCATAGATATGAAGTAGAAGTTTTAGAACAGGGTTTGTTGAAGTGTGGTTTGTAGACCAACTACATCAGAATGCTTGCTAAAATGCAGAGTCCTAGACTCTACCATATCCCACTGAAGCTAAATCTCCAGAAGTGGGGCCAGAAATCTACTTTTTAAGAAGTCAGCTACGTTATTCTTATGCATGCTAAAATTTAGGAGATTGGACTGAGTATTAATCCTGGAACTTCTTTAAGAATATTACCTTTGTTTGGCCAGGTGCGGTGGCTCACGCCTGTAATCCCAGCACTTTGGGAGGCTGAGGCGGGAAGATCACAAGGTCAGGAGATCAAGACCATCCTGGCTAATGTGGTGAAACCCCATCTCTACTAAAAATACAAAAAATTAGCTGGGTGTGGTGGCGGGTGCCTGTAGTCCCAGCTACTCAGGAGGCTGAGACAGGAGAATGGCGTGAACCCAGGAGGCAGAGCTTGCAATGAGCTGAGATCATGCCACTGCACTCCAGCCTGGGCAGCAGAGCAAGACTCTGTCTCAAAAAAGAAAAAAGAAAAAAAAAAATATATATAGTATTACCTTTGTTTTCTTTGTTTTAAAGTAAAGCCCTAACAGGCCAAGGTTGGTGGCTCATGCCTGTAATCCCAGCACTTTGGGAGGCCTGGGGGAGGTGGGTCACTTGAGGTCAGGAGTTCGAGACCAGCCTGGCCAACATGGTGAAACCCCGTCTCTACTGAAAATCCAAAAATTAGCCTGGCATGGTGGTGCATACCTATAATCCCAGCTACTTGGGAGGCTGAGGCAGGAGAATCGTTTGAATCCGGAAGGTTGAGGCTGCAGTGATCTATGGATAGCACCACTGTACTCCAGCCTGGGTGATAGACTGACCCTGTCCAAAACAAAAAAGAAGTCCGAATGCAGATTGACCAAGAGTTGGTTAATTCATTGGTTCAGTGACAATTTGAAAGACCCAGTTCTTTTTATCTTTTGCCTACTCTGTCTTCTCAGGTTAACTCCCCTGATGAGGGCAGAGCAGCCATGTTCCAGGTGCTACATCATATACAGCAACATCTAGCAAAATAAGGGGAACCAATTTCAGATGGAAATTAACCATTTCTGCAGCACATTCATTCAATGATTTTAAATGTGCGGGAATTGTGCAAAATGCTGGGGACACAGTAGTGAATTAGACACAATTCTTTTCCTGACAGATCATGTGTGGATCTAGGCAATCAAGAATTAATTATAAATCAACATCATAAGTACTATGATAAGGGTATTATGGAAGCACATGAAGATATCTATCTATCAATCAATCCATTGATAGGTAGATAGATATATGCAGTCCCGAAGGGCTTCTGAGAGGAAGTGATGACTAAGCAGAGATACCACAGGATAAGTGGAAGTTAGCCAGGTGAAGTATTGGGTCTAAGGAATAAGAGCATTCCAGAAGAGGGATGCCATGCCCAAAAAGCTCAGAAGCAGGTGAGTGGATGTGATATTTAGGGGAACTGAAAGTTTATCCTGTACAGTACAAACAATAGAGAACTACTGGGAGATTTTTGAAGAGAGAGTGCCACCATTCTCACAATATTTAGGATAATTGCTCTGACTGCAGGAAGGGAGACAAATCAGTGGTGAGCAGGAGTGAGGCCAGGTAGGATGCCGACAAAAATCCAGGTGAGAACTGATGAGGTTACAAAGCTAAGGCAGTATCAGTAGAAATGGAAAGTAGATGAATAGTTGGAGACAGATTGAAGGAGAAGGTAGGAAAAAAGAAAAGGAGTCAAAGATGATTTCCGGGCATTTTGCTTGGATGACAAGGATGTTTACCAGCATGGCAGAGAATGTAGGTTTAGAATCAGTCTTGGGGTTAGAGTGGGAGGGAAGATGAATTAGAGGTCATCTGGTCTGGTGAAAAGAAATGATAGCTGGACATCTTCAGGGTATGCATAGCAAAGCCACAGAGTACGTCTCCTGTATCCTTTCCCTTTGGGTTGCTGATGTCTTCTTCCCAAGATGTCAATGAATCAATCTGACAAATTAGCCCTTATTAGCATGGCTGTCTTTGAAGCAATAATATTTTCTTGAAAGGAGATTAATAACAGCTATAACATTATATTTTATGTAAAAATCATTGTATTGCTTCTGTAAACATGGCATATGCTTTTCTAAACAATTCAAACTATACAGGGAAGTACAGAGAGGAAACTAAAAATTGACTCATTCCATCATGCAGATGACTGAAGTTCACATTTTCATGACATTCCTTTTAGACATATCTCTAGGCCCATATACACGTATGTATAGTATTTAATAAAATAAGAGCAACTCTACAGGAGCTTTACAATTTGTTTTTAAAAAACTTAACAATATACAATAGACATATGGTTTCTTTGTATTCCAATGTGTGTATTCAGGTGTATGTGTTTAGGTGTGTGCACACCTATATGTGTGTAGCTTAATTTATTCAAAAAGTCTATTATTGAAAGACATTTAAGTGTTTTTAAACTTTTGTTATGATGAGCAAAGTTTCAGTGAATTTCCCTTATTATTCACATTTTCAAACTGTCAACCTAAATAACAACGAGAGGCTCTCTAAAAGAAATATATTTGGGAATAAAACATTGTGATGGGAATACATGTGCCATGCTAAGCTATGTACATTTTCAGGGAGGTAAAGGAAGACAAAGATTTTTAAAGGAAAAAATAAGGAGGATTACACAATTGTTTTGAAATAATTATCCTTGGCTGCAAAGATAAGTAACAAGGGTTATGCCTTACCGAGAGTACACAGGAAGTTTCTGGGCAGATGTCCTTGCAGAAGCATTTTTTATGTAAGCTTGTGATGGCCTTTAGTCCAAGGTTGTGGTTTTCGTAGTCTTTTTCTGTTATCGGGCATACATGATAACCCTCTTTTCACGGCCTTCCCAGCTCTATTTATCAGGGTTTTCTTGACATTAGTGACTCCATTTTGATGCTGACAACTGTTACAAAACTTATAAAATTTTCTTAAAATAAATTTATATTTTAAAACCTAAGCCAGGCATGATGGCTCACACCTATAATCCCAGCATTTTGGGAGGCTGAGGTAGGAGGATAGCTTGAGCTCATGTTTTGAGACCAGCCTGGGCAACATAGCAAGACCCCATCTCTACAAAAAAACAAACAACACAACCTATTGCAAAATCACTCTCTAAACATGCTACCCACAGGATATAAGAATAACAATGTCTCCACCTTTTTTTTTTTTTTTTTTTTTTTGAGATGGAGTCTCGCTCTGTTGCCCAGGCTGGAGTGCAGTGGCTCGATCTCGGCTCACTGCAAGCTCTGCCTCCTGGGTTTAAGCCATTCTCCTGCCTCAGCCTCCCGAGTAGCTGGGACTACAGGCACCCGCCATCACACCCAGCTAATTTTTTTGTATTTTTAGTAGAGATAGGGTTTCACCGTGTTAGCCAGGATGGTCTTGATCTCCAGACCTCATGATCCACCCACCTCGGCCTCCCAAAGTGCTGGGATTACAGGCGTGAGCCACCACGCCCGGCCCCCAATGTCTCCACCTTTATATCACCATGATAAATCAACAGACAATTATAAATGAATTATAAAACAATGATCTCTTTGTTGTTTAAATGGTAGGAATTTTAGATACTTAGCTGGTTGCTCCATCTGGCCTTTCAGTATCTCCCATATCACACATAAAAGGAGTTTGCTTAAGACCAGCCCACCATGGAGGAAATTCATCCACCAGTCTCCTTTTCCAGATTGCCAAAATGTTTAGTTCTCAGGGCTTTCTAGATAAGAAAAACAAGTGAATGTCCCAGACTGACCAGTCATAGTGATCCAAAGGCAGTCAGCAGAAATCAGTGTCATTACCATTTCTATCCTTGGTGCTGTGGCAGGCCAGAGTGTTTTCACCCTTTATGATCATTCTCAAGAGCAGTTCTTGCTGTTCCTTTGTGACTACAACCTTCTTTGTGGTCAGGTCAGTGACAAACTTTCTGACCAATGTTCTTGAGTCAACACTCATTCATTTAAGAAAGCAATCAGTAAATCATTGAGTATTAAACATCTTCAGAGTAGTCATAATGTTCCTTCGTATTAGCTTGTATCCCCTGTTATTTATTGGTTTTAATTTTCTTCTGGGTGGAACTTTATGATATCAGGGGTTTATTTCATAACTTCCAGCTGCCATCATGGATGGAAAGGTATAGAACATGGAAAGTTTTACAATTGGGATGGAGAATGGAGGACAGCATGCTTAGGGACCTGTGGCTATGCTTTACTATAAGCCAGGCATGCTGCCAGACGCTGGACATAAAACAGAAAATGAGATGTTCTTTTTTTTTTGAGACAGAGTCTTGCTCTGTTGCCAGGCTGGATCTCTGCCTCCCGGGTTCAAGCCATTCTTCTGCCTCAGCCTCCTGAGTAGCTGGGATTACAGGTGCACACCACCACACCCAGCTAATTTTTGTATTTTTTTTAGTAGAGACTGGGTTTCACCATGTTGGCCAGGATGGTCTTGATCTCCTGACCTCGTGATCTGCCCGCCTCAGCCTCCCAAAGTGCTGGGATTACAGGCATGAGCCATCGCACCTGGCCGAAATGAGATGTTCTATGCCCAACCCTCATGAAGCAAGGCTTGTCAACCTCAATATTATTGACATTTTTGGTCAGATAATTATTGCTGTGGGGATGTCTTAGGTATTGCAGATTGTTTAGTAGTAGCTAGATGCCACTAGCACCCTCCACCGAGTTGTGACAACCAGAAATGCCTCCAGACATTGCCACATGTCCCCTAGGAGGTAAACTCTTCCCTGGTTGAGAACCACCGGTGTAAGGGGAAGACAGACAGAACGAGAAATCACCAGTGAAATTCTTCTCAAGTTACACAGTAGAGAAACATAGACTGGTAAAGCAAGGACTTCATGAAGTCCAGGGCCTGACGGCTCAGAATGTGATCCTTGGACAGGCACTCCAGTCTGGATGACAGAGCGAGACTCCATCTCAAAAAAAAAAAAAAGTGAAGGCCCGGTCACAGTAGCTCATGCCTGTAATCCCAGCACTTTGGGAGGCCGAGGCGGGTGGATCATGAGGTCAGGAGATCGAGACCATCCTGGCTAACACCGTGAAACCCTGTCTCTACTAAAAAGTACAAAAAATTAGCCAGGCGTGGTGGTGGGCGCCTGTAGTCCCAGCTACTTGGGAGGCCGAGGCAGAAGAATGGCGTGAACCCAGGAGGTGGAGCTTGCAGTGAGCTGAGATTGAGCCACTGCACTCCAGCCTGGGAGACAAAGCGAGACTCCATCTCAAAAAAAAAAGAAAAAGAAAAAAAAGTGAATTAAATCACACATATCACAAAATCTAGTAAAATAATGTTATATTTTAATTAAACTGCCAGATACACTTCTCTAATACTTTTCCCCCCTACATTTTGGGGCTACATTCTCTTTTATCATTTCTTCATGTGACAACAATTTTTTTGCATTTTATATAGAGAGAATAAAATGATAATCCAGACCTTCCAACATGGTTGATTAAAATTTATTTTTTTATTATTGATAGTTTGGAACAGTTTTAGGTATATAAATAGCTATTGTTAATACTATAATACACTTTGATTGTTGTCAAATTTGGTAAAGGCTCTATTAAGTTTCTTTTTTTTTTTTTTTTTTGAGATGAAGTCTCACTCTGTCACTCAGGCTGGAGTGCAGTGGCAAGATCTTGGTTCACTGCAACCTCTGCCTCCCGGGTTCAAGCGATTCTCCTGCTTCAGCCTCCCGAGTAGATGGGATTACAGGTGCCTGCCATCACGCCTGGTTAATTTCTGTATTTTTAGTAGAGATGGAGTTTCACTTGTTGGCCAGGCTGGTCTTGAACTCCTGACCTCAGGTGATCTGCCTGTCTCGGCCTCCCGATGTATTGGGATTACAGGCGTGAGCCACCGCGTCCAGCTATTAAGTTTCTTTTAATTATGAGCTGTAAGGTTTCAAAGCATTTCAAATTTTCTCATGTAGTGAACAATCTCTGCTTTCTGAATTGAGTATACTCATTAACCAGGGCTTCAGGAGATGATCTATCAAGTGAGTAGCTCTGAAGCTGAAGTACCATTAATTTCATGTAAATACTTTTCTGTATATGCAGTTTCAATGACAGATAATAAACTGAGCTGGGTCTTAAATGACAGAGACTCAGTCCTTGCCAAAAGGACAGTCATGGACCAATGGGGAAGATATGAAAACAGCTAGCTATAAAGCAGGCAGTATGAAGCACTAACAAACTGTACGAAAAATACAACCTTCACTAAAAATGCTGGGCATATCACATACATGTCATAATGGTATAAGATAGGCAATAATCCTTTCCATAAATGTTCATCAAGTGACTATTATGTGTCTAGCACTGCTAGGCATAGATTGAGAGGAAATATGAGTATATTCAGCAGGACTTCTGTCCCATGGATCTTAATTTAGTAGGTAAGATGTGTATGCAGAAAAAGCAATGCCAATCACAGTAGTGGTAACAGGTCATATTTATTGAGCATGTCTTATTTGTCAGGCACTGTGATGATTAATTTTAGTGTCAACTTGACTGGGTTAGGGAATACCCAGATCGCCGATAAAGCAGAAGAGAACTAGCATTTGAATCAGTAGACCGAGCAAGGAAGATCCTCGGTATGGGTGGGCACCACCCAATTGGTTGAGGTCCCAGATAAAACAAAAAGGCAGAGGAAAGATGACTTTGCTCTCTCTTCTGGAGCTAGGATACCTATCTTCTTTTACTCTAGGTCCTCAGAAATTCAGGTTCTTCGGCTTTCAGATTGGGAAACTTACTGTGGCCCCCTGAGGTCCTTGAGCCTTTGGTTTTGGCCTAAGAGTTACACTATCAGCTTCCCTGGTTCTCAGGCCTTCAGACTTGAACTTGGAATGAGCGAAGCCACTGTTCCCTGGTTCTCCATCTTGTGGACAGCATACCATGGGACTTCTCAGCCTCCATAATTGCATGAGCCAATTCCC
Source organism: Homo sapiens (assembly GCF_000001405.40). NCBI lineage: Eukaryota > Metazoa > Chordata > Mammalia > Primates > Hominidae > Homo > Homo sapiens. The sequence continues at coordinate 54,897,573 of NC_000001.11, forward strand.
ATAATAAATCTCCTTTTATCTATCTATCTATCTATCTATCTATCTATCTATCTATCTATCTGTCTGTCTATCTATCTATCTCTGTCTGTCGTCTGTCTATGTATCCATCCATTCATCCATCTATCCTATTGGTTCTGTTTCTCTATTGAACCCTAACTAATACAAGCACAGTTCTAAATGCTTTACATTTAAATATAATACAATAATGTGATTAAATACAACAGTAAAAAGTAGAATGTGCTAAATATTATACTTCCCAAGCTGTCCAATACTGAGTAAGTACTTAAAAGGAGGGAAAATCTTCTGACTCAATAATAACAGGTATTGAGTTTCATGCACGTCTGTGTGAAGAGACCACCAAATAGGCTTTGTGTGAGCAATAAAGCTGTTTATTTCACCTGGGTGCAGGTGGGCCGAGTCCGAAAAGAGAGTCAGTGAAAGGAGATAAGTGTGGGGCTGTTTTATAGGATTTGGATAGGTAAAGGAAAATGGGGGGTTGTTCTCTGGCGGGCAGGAGTGGGGGTCACAAGGTACTCAGTGGGGGAGCTTTTGAGCCAGGATTAGCCAGGAGAAGGACAAGACAATGTCATCAGTTAAAGCAGAAACAGGCCATTTTCACTTCTCTTGTGGTGGAATGTCATCAGTTAAGGCAGGAACCAGCCATCTGGATGTGTATGTGCAGGTCACAGGGGATATGATGGCTTCGCTTGGGCTCAGAGGCCTGACATTCCTGTCTTCTTATATTAATAAGAAAAATAAAATGAAACAGTGGTAAAGTGTTGGGATGGCAAAAATTTTGAGGGACGGTATGGAGAGATAATGGGCGATGTTTCTCAGGGCTGCTTTGAGCGGGATTAGGGGCGGCGTGGGAACCTAGAGTGGGAGAGATTAAGCTGAAGGAAGATTTTGTGGTAAGGGGTGATATTGTGGGGTTGTTAGAAGGAACATTTGTCATTTAGAATTATTGGTGATGGCCTGGATACAGTTTTGTATGAATTGAAAAACTAAATGGAATAAGAGAAGGAGAAAAACAGGTATGAAAGGTCTAAGAATTGGGACGACTCAGGACATCTGATTAGAGAGTGCCTAAGGAGATTCAGCATAGTCCTGTCAGCAAAGATTATTTATTTATTTCAAGAGTTAAGAGTGGCAGTTTGGGGATAGCACTAGGAGATATCAGCTGTGATGGCTTGGAGAAAGAGTGTAAACCGGCATTGTAAACAAGAGCAGGGCATGTATGAGTAGTTGAAAACAGTCAATAGAAGTATGACTAGAGAGAAGACAGTAGGGATGACAAGTTTTTTGGGGGCACAGTCTAAGTTGGTCTGGTGTCTGGAATGAGACTGGGGCCTAATAAAAAGGAGTGTCTATACTGGAGCTCAAATGGGCTCTGCCTTGTAGCATTCTGAGGACAGGTATGACTTCTGAGAAGGGAAAGTGGTAGAAGTATTGTCCAGTCCTTTGTAAGTTGGTGACTGAGCTTGGTGACGTGTGTTTTTAAAAGACCTTTAGTCCATTCTACTTTTCTTGAAGACTGAGGACTGTAAGGGATATAAAGGTTTCACTGAATACTAAGAACCTGAAAAAATGCTTGGCTGATTTGACTAATAAAGGCTGGTCTGTTATCAGACTGTATAGAGGTAGGAAGGCTAACCTGAGGAATTATGTCTGACAGAAGGGAAGAAATGACTGCGGTGGCCTTCTCAGACCCTGTAGGAAAGGCCTCTACTTATCCAGTGAAAGTGTCTACCTAGACTAAGAGGTATTTTAGTTATCTGACTCGGGGCATGTTGAGTAAAGCTAATTTGCCAGTCCTGGGTGGGGGCAAATCTTCGAGCTTGATGTGTAGGGAAGGGAGGGGGCCTGAATAATCCCTGAGGAGTAGTAGAATAGCAGATGGAACACTGAGAGGTTATTTCCTTGAGGATAGATTTCCATGATGGAAAGAAAATGAGAGGTTTTAAGAGGCAGGCTTGTGGCTTGTACTATAGCATAGCCTGCCTTTGCTGGTGTGTGGCGATTAGGCCTGGTGGAACTGCCATCAATAAATCAAGCATGATCAGGGTGAGGAACAGGAAAGAAGGAAATATGGGGAAATGGGGTGAATGTCAGGTGGATCAGAGAGATACAGTCATGGGGGTCAGGTGTGGTATCAGGAATAATGTGGGAGGCCAGATTGAGGTCTGGGCCAGGAACAATGATAATTGTGGGAGTTAACAAAAAGTGAGTACAGCTGAAGGAGCGGGGGAGCAGAAAGTATATGAATCAGGTATGAGGAAGAAAATAGATTTTGGAAGTTATGAGACATGTAGAGAGTGAGTTGAGCATAGTTCGTGATTTTTAGGGCCTCTAAAAGTATTAAAGCAGTGGCAGCCGCTGCATGAAGACATAAGGGCTAAGCTAAAACAGTAAGGTCAATTTGTTTGGACAGAAAGGCTACAGGGGGCGGTCCTGGCTTTTGTGTAAGAATTCTGACCCCACTAACCATGCCTAGGAAGGAAAGGAGTTGTTGTTTTGAAAGGGATTGAGGTTTGGGAGATTAATCAGACACGATCAGCAGGGAGAGCACGTGTGTTTTTATGAGACTTATGCCGAGAGAGGTAACAGATGAGGATGAAATTTGGGCTTGACTGAAGTAATGGGGGCTGTCTGTGAAGCCTTGAGGCAGTACAGCCTAGGTAATTTGCTGAGCCTAATGGGTGTCAGGGTCAGTCTAAGTGAAAGCAAAGAGAGGCTGGGATGAAAGGTGCAAAGGAATAGTAAAGAAAGCATGTTTGAGATCCAGAACAGAATAATGGGTTGTGGAGGGAGGTATTGAGGATAGGAGAGTATATGGGTTTGGCACCACAGGGTGGATAGGCAAAACAATTTGGTTGATAAGGCATAGATCCTGAACTAACCTGTAAGTCTTGTCTGGTTTTAGGACAGGTAAAATGGGGGAATCATAAGGAGAGTTTATAGGCTTTAAAAGGCAATGCTGTAGCAGGTGAGTGATAACAGGCTTTAATCCTTTCAAAGCATGCTGTGGGATGGGATATTGGCATTGAGCTGGGTAAGGGTGATTAGGTTTTAATGAGATGGTAAGGGGTGCATGATCGGTTGCCAAGGAGGGAGTAGAGGTATCTTATACTTGTGGGTTAAGGTGGGGGGATACAAGAGGAGAACGCAAAGGAGGCTTTGGATTGGGAAGAAGGGCAGCAATGAGATGCAGCTGTAATCCAGGAATAGTCAGGGAAGCAGATAATTTAAAGTGTCTCGGCCTAATAAGGGAACTGGGCAGGTGGGGATAACTAAAAGGGAGTGCATAAAGGAGTATTGTCTAAGTTGGCACCAGAGCTGGGGAGTTTTAAGAGGTTTAGAAGCCTGGCCGTCAATACGCACAACAGTTATGGAAGCAAGAGAAACAGGCCCTTGAAAATAAGGTAATGTAGAGTGAGTAGCCTCTGTATTGATTAAGAAGGAGACGGACTTACCCTCCACTGTGAGAGTTACCCGAAGCTCAGCGTCCGTGATGGTCGAGGGGGCTTGCAAGGCAATCGGGCAGCGTCAGTCTTCAGCCGCTAAGCCAAGAAGATCTGGGAAGGAGTCAGAGAGCCTTGGGCCAGAGTTCCAGGGGCTCTGGGAGTGGCTGCCAGGTGAGTTGGACAGTCTGATTTCCAGTGGGGTCCCGCACAGATGGGATGTGGCTTAGGAGGAAACCTGGGCTGCAGGCATTCTTTGGCCTGGTGGCCAGATTTCTGGCACTTGTAGCAAGCTCCTGGGGGAGGAGGTTCTGGAGGAACACCTGGCCACTGCGGTTCAGGCGTTTGGAAGTTCTTGTGTGCTGGAGATGTGACTGGGGTTTGTCTCACAGTGGAGGCAAGGAATTGCAACTGTTTTCTATTATTGTACACCTTGAAGGCGAGGTTAATTAAATCCTGTTGTGGGGTTTGAGGGCCGGAATTTAATTTTTGGAGTTTTATTTAATGTCGGGAGCAGATTGGGCAATAAAGTGTATATTGAGAATAAGATGGCCTTTTGACCTTTTAGGGTCTAGGCTGTAAAGCGTCTCAGGGTTGCTGCCAAACAAGTCATGAACTGGGCTGGGTTTTTCATATTTGATGAAAGAGCCTAAATGCTCACTGATTTGGGAGAGGTCTGATAAAGAAAAAGGAGCATTAATCTTGACTATGCCTTTAGCTTCAGCCACCTTTTTAAGAGTAAATTGCTGGGCAGGTGGGGGAGGGCTAGTCACGGAACAAAACTGTAAGCCAGACCAGGTGTGAGGAGGAGAGGTGATAAAAGGATTATAGGGTGGAGGAGCAGAGGCTGAGGAAGAATTGGGACCTAGCTTGGCCTGGCAAGGAGCAGCCTGGGGAGGAGGGGAGAGGTCAGATGGGTCTGTAGAAAAGGAAGATTAGGAAGACTCAGAGGCGCTTGGGGTTGGGACTGAGGGGGCAGGTGGGAGAGAAAGAAGGAAGATTTGGGATAAGCTGCATTGGGAACAGAGACTAGAGAGGGACTGATGTGTAAAAGAATGCCTGGCTGTCAGGCACCTCAGACCATTTGCCTATTTTACGACAAGAATTATTTAGATCTTGTAGGATGGAAAAATTGAAAGTGCCATTTTCTGGCTATTTGGAACTACTGTCGAGTTTGTATTGGGGTCAAGCGGCATTACAGAAGAAAATAAGACACTTGGATTTTAGGTCAGGTGAGAGTTGAAGAGGATTTAAGTTCTTAAGAACATAGGCTGAGGGAGAAGGAGGAATGGAAGGTGGAAGGTTGCCCATAGTGAAGGAGGCAAGCCCAGAGAAGAGAGTAGAGACACGGAGGGAAGGGGTTCGGGGGTTCTTACCCTCCAGAAAAGTGGGAAAGGGGTAGGGGCACAGAGATACAAGATAGGGGCATGGAAATAAGGGATTGGGGCGCAGAGGTATAAGAGGTTGGGGCACAGAAATAAGGGATTGGGGCACAGAGATATAAGGTGTTGGGGCGTGGAAATAAGGGTTCGGGGCACAGAGATACGAGGTTGGGCTACTTGCCCCTCCCCTAGAAAAGCAGGACTTGCCACTAAGGGTGAAGGAGAAGGGGTTGGGGGTTTCTTGCCCCCCAGAAAGGTGGAGAAGGAGTAGAGACATGGAGAGAAGGGGTTGGGGTACTTGCCCCTCCCCCAGAAAAGCGGGACTTGCCACTAAGGGTGAAGGACCAAGGCAGGTGTCCCTGCATGGTCTGACACCTCTGAAACGTGGGTGAATAATCAGAGAGGTGTCCCTGCAATGATTAAACACCAAGGGAAGGCTGCCTTCCCAGTCCGTGACTGGTGCTGGAGTTTTGGGTCCACGGATAAAACAGGTCTCCTTTGTCTCTATCAGAAAATGAAAGGAATTGAAATTAAGAGAAGGGAGAGATGGAAGAGTGGAAAGGAGAAAGTGGTTGAGGGATAGTGAGAGAGGTTGGAGAAGAGAGTAAGAAGAGGCCGCTTACCGGATTTAAAATTGGTGAGATGTTCCTTGGGCTGGTGGGTCTGAGGACCTGAGGTCATAGGTGGATCTTTCTCATGGAGCAAAGAACAGGAGGACAGGGATTGATCTCCCAAGGGAGGTCCCCCGGTCTGAGTCACGGCACCAAATTTCATGTGTGTCCATGTGAAGAGACCACCAAACAGGCTCTGTGTGAGCAATAAAGCTGTTTATTTCACCTGGGTGCAGGTGGGCTGAGTCCAAAAAGAAAGTCAGCAAAAGGGGATAAGGTTGGGGCCATTTTATAGGATTTGGGTAGGTAAAGGAAAAAAGGGGGTTCTCTGGCAGGCAGGAATGGGGGTCACAAGGTACTCAGTGGGGGAGCTTTTGAGCCGGGATGAGCCAGGAGAAGGAATTTCACAAGACAATGTCATCAGTTAAGGCAGGAACAGGCCATTTTCACTTCTTTTGTGGTGGAATGTCATCAGTTAAGGCAGGAACCGGCCATCTGGGAGTGTATGTGCAGGTCACAGGGGATATGATGGCTTCGCTTGGGCTCAGAGGCCTGACATTGAGCACCTGTTGTGCACCAGGCTTGACACACCCATCATCTCAATATAAATCTTAACACATCTCTACCAAGTGGACATGCCCCCCATATATCAGTGTTCAGAGAAATTAGGGAGCTGGTCCAAGGAGAGTAAGTGGTGGAACCAGGTGCTGGACACTGGACTTCTTAGGAAAGATGTCACAAATCAGGCACTGATGGCCAGAATGGGTCTCAGCTTTGTTCAACTTAAATATAGGATACAAGCATGTAGTCCAACAGACCAAAGAAGAGTGAAAGTTTTTTAACAAAAATAGCAGCCTCCTCCTCCTCTCTTCCATACCCCCACCCTGCTTTTTTTCTCTTACAGCTGGTTCCATTTGGCAGGACAGCTCCTTGAGGGCAAGGACTGTCCCCCAATCTCTGTGTGCCCAGTGCCCAACACAGGCCAGTGTCCTGAAGTCAACTGGTCCTTAGTTTGATCCTTTTTTTTTTCAAGACAGGATATTTCACCATCGCCCAAGCTGAAGTGCAGTGGCACGATCATAGCTTATTTGCAGCCTGAAACTCCTGGGCTCAAGTGATCCTCTCATCTCAGCCTCCGGAGTAGCTAGGACTGCAGGTGTGCACCACCACACCCGGCTAATTTATTTATTTTTTGTACAGATGGGGTCAGGCTATGCTGCCCCAGTCTACTCTCAAACTCCTGTCCTTAAGCAATCTTCCCACCTTGGCCTCCCAAACTGCTGGGATTATATGTGTGAGCCATGCCCTTGGCACCAATTCTTGAGTAAGAATTATTTCAGTTTCTTCTCACAAAGTGAGAACATTAAAAAAAAATTAGTGAGTAAGCATAATATACAAAAATATTTCCACTTAGTGGTCAGACTAACAGTAGCTTACTGTTGAAAACAACAATGAAACCAGGTGAAAGTTAGCCGTACCCATTTCATTCAGACAGTCCCAGCTAGAGTCCCTGCTCTTCTCTCCATTATCCTTGAGCAAGTTATTCAGCCACTCCAGATAAGTTCTGGCATGTGTTAATTCTCCATGAATATCTGTCATTACCATTTCCTAACAGAAAGGAGCAAATGTCTTTGATCATTTACTAAGCCTATGCCCACATTTCTTGGCAGGGATAAACTATCCAAAAGTCACAGACTATTGACTTAAATGAATGTATGGAATGAAAGCACTGATTTAATAAGCTCAGTGGCATGACATTCTTGGGGCATGGGTAAGGAGGAAGCTGACGCAGGAGCAGAGATGCTAATGGGGGTGAGAGAAAACTGCAGAGGCAGCAGGATGGCTGTGCACCCAACAGAAAAGCAGCATGGGGGTTTAATGAGGGACACACAGTCCTCTTTCTTAAGTAGCCTCCTGGAGGGCATGACCATGAGTTTGACAGCTCTTTATAGCAGTAGGTGCAGATAATGATCACTTGAAGTATCAGTAAAAATGTCAATCAAAAAAATATGTTCAGAGAAGCACCCAGCCAGGCCAAAAAAAAAAAAAAAGTAAGTGTATAATGCTTTTTTAAAAGACACCTGAGAATCTGTTTGACTTTGGGAGAGCTTTAAGAAGCAGTGTTTTCTAGATTTTAGGAGTTCATGGCCCAAAAAAGAATTAAAAAAAATCAAGGCCCACCATAGAGCTGCCAACTTGTTATTGTGGCACATAAAGACACTAAGAAACAACCAACAAAAGAATCACCACCTACTCTTGTCATATTTTCATAGAAGATAGGAAATTTTAATGTCAGAAACAGTAGGAAGATCCCAATCTTAGCATAAAGGATAGTCCTTCAAATGGAATACATTTAGCATTATGAAAAGCTTGCTTCATTTCATATTTTTTCTGACTTTCCTGCAATTTCTGGAAGCATTGTCACGAACCAACCAAATGGACCCTGCATTTAGAAACTACTATCCTCTAATGCTGTGGTTTTCAAAGAATGGGCTGTTGGCCAGCAGCATCAGCATAACATGGGAACCTGCCAGAGATACAAATTCTCAGGCCCCATCCCAGGCTGAAGCAAAAATTCTGGAAGTGGGCCCAGCAACCTGTGTTTTGACAAGTTTTCCAGGTAGTTGTGACGTGCCCAAGTTTAAGAATTAACTGTTGTGGGCCAGGTGCAGTGGCTCACGCCTGTAATCCCAGCACTTTGGGAGGCTGAGATGGGCGGATCACGAGGTCAGGAGATTGAGACCATCCTGGCTAACACGGTGAAACCCCATCTCTACTAAAAATACAAAAAAATTAGCCGGGTGTGGTGACGGGCGACTGTAGTCCCAGCTACTTGGGAGGCTGAGGCAGGAGAATGGTGTGAACCCGGGAGGCAGAGCTTGCAGTGAGCAGAGATGATGCCACTGCACTCCACCTGGGTAACAGTGCAAGACTCTGTCTCAAAAAACAAAACAAAACAAAACAAAAACAAAAAACAAGAATTAACTGTAGTGAAAGGAAAAGATCTTGGGGCCCCAAGATCACTAAGCTACAAGGAAAACTCAAGCTGGAAATTGCTCAGGACAAAACCTGCCTCCCGTTCTATTCAAAGTTATCTCTGTTCACTGAGATAAATGCATATGTGATTGCCTCCTTTGGAAAGGCTAATCAGAAACTCAAAAGAATGCAACTATTTGTCTCTCCCCTATGAGTGACCTGGAAGCTCCCTCCCACTTTCACTTAGAGTCTTCCTGCCTTTGCTTCAAGTTGTCCCGCCTTTCCAGACCAAACCAATGTACTTCTTACATATATTGACTGATGTCTCATGTCTCTCTAAAATGTTTAAAACCAAGCTGTGCCCCAACCACCTTGGGCACATGTCATCAGGATTTCCTGAGGCTGTATAATGGGTACATTTCTTCAACATTGACAAAATAAACTGTCTAAATTAACTGAGACCCAGCCGGGTGTGGTGGCTCATGCCTGTAATTCCAGCACTTTGGGAGGCTGAGGCAGGCGGATCACCTGAGATCAGGAGTTCGAGACCAGCCTGGCGAACATGGAGAAACCCCGTCCCTACTAAAAATACAAAAATTAGCCAAGCACGGTGGCACATATCTGTAATCACAGCTACTCCAGCCTGGGTGACAAAGCAACTCTGTCTAAAACAAAACAAAACAAAACACGTTTCCATGTGAGTTACCTCAGGTAGTTGGAAACTGCAGACTAATCTCCTTAGTCCCAGTTCTGCCCTCTTGAGCCACAGTCTCCCCCACTTGACAACGCTGTATGCATTTGAAGATGACTATTCCATCTCCCTTCTCTGTGCTCTTAATGCAGGCAGTGCTCTTAATTGGCCCTTGCTTTCACTCGCATCTGTGTGAAGAGACCACCAAACAGGCTTTGTGTGAGCAGCAAGTCTGTTTATTTCACCTGGGTGCAGGCAGGCTGAGTCCGAAAAGAGAGTCAGCGAAGGGGAGATAGGGGTGGGGCCATTTTATGAGATTTGGGTAGGTAAAGGAAAATTACAGTCAAAGTGGGGGTTGTTCTCTGGCGGGCAGGAGTGGGGGTCACAAGATGCTCAGTGGGGGTGCTTTTTGAGCCAGGATGAGCCAGGAGAAGGAATTTCACAAGACAGTGTCATCAGTTAAGGCAAGGACCGGCCATTTGCACTTCTTTTATGGTGGAATGTCATCAGTTAAGGCAGGAACAGGCCATTTTCATTTCTTTTCTGATTCTTCAGTTACTTCAGGCCATCTGGGCATATACGTGCAGGTCACAGGGGATGCGATGGCTTAGCCTGGGCTCAGAGGCCTGACATTCCTGCCTTCTTTTTTTTTTTTTTTTTCTTTTTTGAGACGGAGTCTCACTCTGTCGCCCAGGCTGGAGTGCAGTGGCGCGATCTCGGCTCACTGCAAGCTCCGCCTCCCGCGTTCATGCCATTCTCCTGCCTAAGCCTCCTGAATAGCTGGGACTACAGGCGCCCGCCACCACGCCTGGCTAATTTTTTGTATTTTTAGTAGAGAAGGGGTTTCATCGTGTTAGCCAGGATGGTCTCGATCTCCTGACCTCATGATCCACCTGCCTCAGCCTCCCAAAGTGCTGGGATTACAGGTGTGAGCCACTGCACCTGGCCCCTGCCTTCTTACATTAATAAGAAAAATAACATAAAATAGTATTGAAGTGTTGGGGCAGCAAAAAAAATTTTTTTTGGGGGGGGTGGCATGGAGAGATAATGGGCGATGTTTCTCAGGGCTGCGGATTAGGGGTGGCATGGGAACCTACAGTGGGAGAGGTCAAGTTGAAGGAGGATTTTGTGGTAAGGGGTGATATTGTGGGGTTGTTAGAAGGAGCATTTGTCATATAGAATGATTGGTGATGCCATGGATACAGTTTTGGATGAATTGAGAAACTAAACAGAAGATACAAGGTCCGAATAAAAGAAGGAGAAAAGTAGGTATTAAAGGACTGAGAATTGGGAGGACCCAGGACATCCAATTAGAGAGTGCCCAAGGGGGTTCAGCGTAATTACTTGCTTGGTTGGCAAGTTTTTGGGCTCTATCCTTGAGTTTTTTTATGTTGTCATATACCAGGCCAGATTGATTTGGGTAAAAACAACACTCTTCATTTAAAAATATACAGAGTCCTCCTTTTTCAGCAGTGAGTAAGTCAAGGCCTCGGCGGTTTTGGAGGATAACTGCAGCTAAAGAGTCAACTTGGGCCTGGAGGACTGATAAAGTTTGTGATATGTCTCTGATGCTACCAGAGAAGTCATTAGACAGGCTACGGAAGGTCATGACAGAGGTTGAAATGCCTGCTATTCCAGTACCGAGAGCAATAATGGAGGCAGACAGTCCTAAACCGACCATCAAGGGAATTACTAGAATAACTCTTTTTTGTCATGTCGATGTCATGAGGGGAAAAGGGAGCTCTTAGGTCCCATGTGCAAATTGAATTTTGGGAGTAAGGAAAACTAGTGTGCATGTGCCTGTCCAATTAGCAGGTAGACACATGTAGGTAGAGGATCCACAGAGGAAGAAGAGACCTTGTGCGAGGTAAAACTGGAGATGCAAAGTAAAAAGATGAGAAGGAGTGCTGAAAGGGGTGTCTTGTACCCAGACTCCTAGGGATCCAGCTAGGGCAGCAGCCATCAGAGGTTGTAATGGGGACTGAGGAGGTAACTGCGTAGGGGGGGAGGTTCGATTTTCATGGTGTAGGAGAAAACGTTGAGTGTCTATGAGCAAATTTTCACTGTTATTTTCAGGGCTTGTTTACTAAGTAAACAAGAAGAGGGCCTGGGAGGAGAGTCTGATGAGCAAGGGGAAGGTAGCCAAGGATGGAGTGAAATACAAGGTAAGCGTCTTCCTAAGCAATAATTACTGCTAATGTTTTTAAGTTTGCCAGTATTGATAGAGGGCTTATCTGTAATATGGAGCTGGAAGGCTCCAATTGTTTCAGTGATGTGTATAGTTGGGCTTTGGAAATGAAGAGTAAAGGAACATTGAGAAGGTGAAAAGTTACCCAGGGGAATTCCAGTGGGTCTTTGCCGAGAGATACATAAATGAGTGGAATAGTAGTTTGTGTTGTGAGGGGTCCAAATACGGGGGGAGTAGAGTTGATATAAGGAGAAAGGTTTTTTAAGTAAGTGTGAAGGAGGGCAGCAGCTTGCTGATGTGAAATGTCTGGGGAGGTCCTGCTGGACCTATCTAGAAAGTAAATGAGTTCTTCACGAAGGTAAACGTGAGGGCTGTTAAAGTTAGGAGGCATAGGGAGACAGAAGATGTTGCTCAGTCTGTATGTAAGGCGGGGACAGCTGTGTAGGCGCTGGAAGAAAGAGAAATGCAAAGCCAGCAGTTGTTTGCTAAGGAAGGTTTAGAAACAGCTAGGAGAGAATGGGTAAGGTTGATAGTGTGGTGGAGATAGCTGGGGAGAGGTAGAGGGTGGCATAAGAATGGGAATGAGAATCACAGTGAGTATAAAAGTAAAGAATAGAACTTCATCAGGGTGAAAGTATTGGAGGGTCCCCTGCCAGCAAAGATCATCTATCCACTCTAAGAGGGAGTTAAGAGTGGCAGTTTGGGGATAGCACCAAGAGATATCAGCTGTGATGGCATGGAGAAACAGTGTAAACTGGCAGTGTAGACAAGAGTAGGACATTTATAAGTAGTTGAGAACAGTGAATAGGAGTATGACTAGACAGAAGATAGTAGGGATGACTAGTTTTTGGGGTTCGGTCCAAGTAGTGGGGGTGACTTCATAAAGCCCTGTTGCAAAAAGTAGGGTAAGGATGAACAGACCTAATAGAATGAAGGGATGTATTAGGCTCACAAGGGTTATTACTGTTCTTCAGAAATATGAGTGAGTTTAAGGGAAGTAGGGGAGAATACTTGCGACTTCCAGGAGGAAGAGGAGGGATTAGGCTGGCTGTCCGACGGACACAGCTTTATTCTGGAATGGTGAACCCAGTGGGAAGGATCCTGCAGGCAGACAGCAGTTGGGGTACTATAGATGACTAAATAGGGTCCTGTCCACGACGTTGTAGAGTTTGAGGGGTCAGATTCTTAACCAGAACTGATCGTCCAGCTAGGGTGTCTTTGTATGGCTGAGAATCTGGAGTAGGCAAGAGAAGATTAGCAGCCTGGTGGATTTCCTGTCTAGCCTGCTGGAGAACTGGAAGATAGTCGCCTACAGGGCTGGTGTCTGGGATGAGGTTGGGACTGAGCAAGAAAGTGCGTGCATATAAAAGTTCAAATGGACTGTACCCTGTAGCATCTCAAGGACAGGCTCTAATTCTGAGAAGGGCAAGAGGTAAAAGTACTGTCCAGTCCTTTTTAAGATGGAAGCTGAGCTTGGGGAGGTGTGTCTTTAAAAGACCATTAGTCCGTTCTACCTTTCCTGAAGATTGAGGATGATAAGGGATATGAAGTTTCCACTGAATACCAAGAGCCTGAGAAACTGCTTGGGTGATTTGACTAGTAAAGGCTGGTCCGTTATCAGCCTGTATAGAGGTGGGAAGGCCAAACCAAGGAATTATATCTGACAGAAAGGAAGAAATGACCGCGGTGGCCTTCAGACCCTGTGGGAAAGGCCTCCACCCATCCAGTGAAAGTGTCTACCCAGAGCAAGAGGTATTTTAGTTTTTTGACTTGGGGCATGTGAGTAAAGTCAATTTGCCAGTCCTGGGCAGAGGCAAAACCAGGTATCCAAAGTCAAAAGTATCTAACCATGCCTAGGAAGGAAAGAAGTTGCTTTGTAGAAGGTGTTGGGGTTTGAGAGATCAGTAGGACACGATCGGCAGGGAGACCACATGTGTTTTTATGAAGAATTATGCCGAGGTAGGTAACAGATGGAGTGATTTGATCTCCTGTCCTCCTGTCAGCCTGGTCTGGATGCCTTTTTATTATTAATCAGCAACTGCCACTTATTGCACGTTAGTTATCACGTGCCACACCGCCTAGGAATGTTCCATATGTTCTTACTTTAAGTCTTCACAATAGCTCTGGTGTTACCGGGGGGTCGTTTCTCCCAGAGCTCCCAAGATGGTGGCGGGCTACTTCCAAAATGGTGGCAAGCCTCGTGTTCTCTGACCTGGGGTTCTTGGCCTCACGGATTCCAAGGGATGGAATCTTAGGCCATGCGGTGAGTGTTATAGCTCTATTAGAAGCCGTGGGTCATGGAAGAGAACCGTGGAACCCAGTGACTAGTGTTCAGCTCGATTAGGATGAACCCGGGCACTGAGCCATGCAGGAACAATGGCAAGCGTTTAGCCCGATCAGGAGCGGCAATGGGTGCCTTGCTGGATCAGGAGCACAGTGGACACCCTGCCAGATTTGGAGGGATGAAAGTCAGTGGCGGGTCTGTGACGGTGGCAAACAGCAGTGGTGCACAGCGAGCGAAAGCTCAGCTCCAGCTGTAACAAACAGGGACCAGAAGAATTGCAGTTGCAAGATTTAATAGAGTGAAAACAGAGCTCCCATACAAAGGGAGGGGACCCAAAGAGGGTAGCCATTGTCAGCTCGAATGCCTGGGTTTATATCCCGATCATTGTCCCTCCCGCTGTGCTCTCAGGTGATAGATGATTGGCTATTTCTTTACCTCCTGTTTTTGCCTAATTAGCATTTTAGTGAGCTCTCTTTACTACTTGATTGGTTGGGTGTGAGCTAAGTTGCAAGCCCCATGTTTAAAGGTGGATGCGGTCACCTTCCCAGCTAGCTTAGGGATTCTTAGTTGGCTTTGGAAATCCAGCTAGTCCTGTCTCTCAGTTCCCCCTCTTTAACAGGAAAACCCAAGTGCTGTTGGGGAGGTTGGCCGACAACCTCTAACTGCTTCCTGCTGAATTGGGGCATAGTAGGGGTGGTGCAGTTGAGATTTCCTTGGTAGGATTGCCCTCGATGTCATTAACATCAGAGCATGGACTAGCAGGCCGGCCCAGGGGTCCGTGGTAGATTTTAGTCATGGACTGCATCTGGGGCTCCATTTGAAGAACAATTTGTAGCTTTAGAGCTTCAATTCTGGAAGAGACAAACTTAACAAGGAGGTTGAAGATATAGAGTCCAAAGAGGAGTAACAATATTATAGCTGCTAAAGGTCCTAAGAAGGGGAGAATCCAGGGCATCCATTGGCTGAGGAGGCCGCAGGTTCTGGTGTTTTGAAGCTCCTCTGCTCTACATTATGTTCAATCTCAAATTTCTTTAACTTTCTCGGTGACGATTCTGGATTGATTAACATAATAACAGCATTCTTCCCCTAAAAATAAACAGGTTCCGGCAGGACGTGGTGGCTCACGCCTTTAATCTCGGCACTTTGGGAGGCCGAGGTGGGGTTATCACGAGGTCAGGAGATGGAGACCATCCTGGCTAACATGGTGAAACCAATCTCTACCAAAAATACAAAAAATTAGCCGGGCATGGTGGTGGGAGTCTGTAGTCCCAGCTACTCAGGAGGCTGAGGCAGGAGAATGGTGTGAACCCGGGAGGCGGAGGTTGCAGTGAGCCAAGATTGTGCCACTGCACTCCAGCCTGGGTGACAGAGCGAGACTCCGTCTCAAAATAAATAAATAAATAAATAAAATAAAATAAAATAAAATAAAATAAAATAAACAGATTCCCCCTCTTTCGGCGGTTAGCAAGTCTAAAGCTGTCTGATTTTGAAGGACTACTGCTGCTAGGGAGTTAAGTTGATCTTGCAATGTGACCAGGGAGTCAGCGACCCGTTCCATGTCACCATTTAGTTCTTGAGATAGTTTGTAGAACTGAGTAGATGCTGTGATACCGCCAGGGCCAGTACCTAGTCCGCCTAGCACTCCTGCTCCAATAACAAAAGGAAGAATGGGTACTCTTTTGTTGCGGGGCTTAGGTGCAACATGATTGTATAAATTTTGTTCAGTGTAGATGGTCATAGGGGCACTAAGAATGAGAGGAAGCACATAGATTCTGAAGAGCCATTCAAACAACGATAGGCTGAAGTACCACAGACAAAAAATATTCCTGAGGTTAGGCAGACTATTCGCGTGGGAGGAGTAACCCGCCTGATGCATTGGGAGTTGGCTGTTGCTATAGTATTGCTAAATTTTACACAGGTGAGGTTTGAGGTATGGATTATTTCCAGATTGGAAACAAGAGGTCCTACTAAAATGGAAGTGGTGTTTATTTCTGTGCTGAAGTTATTCCATTGTTCAGGTACAGGGACTGAAATGTATGGCCTGAAGTGCAGGGGGAGGCACATCCAACAGTTAGTAGGGTTTTGGTCCGAGACCTCATGGAGCCCAGTGAGGGTGGTATTAAATAGGCTTACCAGGTGAGTATGGGTACGGAGGGGTTCATGTAGTTTTAAGAGATTGAGTCCTTTGTAGGGGCTAGGAGTACTATGTACCTGGGTCAGTTGGGAGATTACTTCCTTTACGTGTTTTTCTCTTGCCTGATCTTGAACTCCACCCCCATCAGACATACCGGTATGGGTGAAGTAAGTCCAACAGATAGTGGCTCCAAGTCCTCCAGGACAACTAGGATTAATCATTTTCCCTGTCCAATAATGAGTATTTGCATGCATACAAAGAGTGGCAGAGTTATAGCAGTTGCGGGACATATGGGTGTGGGCAGTGAAGGTGGAGGTTCCCTTAGATAAACTCCTATACAATGGGGCATCAATATTTCCGGGAAGCTGCATTCTCCAAGAAACTCTTGGTAAGGGGAGCTACTGGTCATAGAGTGGCATGGAGGGGGTGCAGTGAGAGTGAAAGGGGGTAAGAGAACAGTAAAGAGAAAAATACGATAAGGGAGAGCCATGGGGATTTATGATTTTAGTTACTTTCCTCACAGTTGTCTGACAGCCACAAGTCTCCTTTAGCAATGAGTATGGCGTTCACATCATGAGATGACCACACAGTAAGATCTCTTCCCTGTATTTTAACTGCTTCAGATACTAAGACTGCTACTGCTGCCACTACCCATAAACAATGAGGCCAACCCTTTGCCACTACATCAATTTCCTTGCTCAGGTATGCCATGGGTTGCAAGCTCATCCCTCGGACCTGTGTAAGGTCTCCTAGAGCTATTCCTGTGTTTTACTGTGACATATAAAGAAAATTCTTGCCCCGTTGGCAAGCTTAACACTGGGGCTTGGGTTAGGGCCTCCTTTAGGGCCTGGAAAGCCGCTTCTGCTTCAGGTGTCCATCTTAGTAAATGGGTATTGGCTTTCTGAGTTTCCTTAATTAGTATATATAATGGCCTGGCTATTTTGCCGTACCTGGGAATCCATATTCGGAAGAAACCTGTTATGTCAAGGAACCTTCTTAGTTGCTTTAGGGTTTTGGGATGAGGATAAGCCAGCATAGGCTGGATACATTCCTCACTGAGGGCCCTGGTGCCTTTGGATAATTTTAGCCCTAAGTATTTAACCTGCTGTGAGCAGAGCTGAGCCTTTGGTTTGTAAACCTTGTAGCCACAGGTAGCAAGGATATTTAAGAGTGCTTGGGTGGCTTGATGGCACAAGGTTTCTGAATGGGTGGCTAAAAGTAAATCATCCATGCACCAAAGGACAAGAATGTCCAGGTATGAGAATTGGCTCAAGTCTTGGGCTAATGCCTGGCCAAATAGATGGGGGCTATCCCTGAACCCTTGAGGTAAAACAGTCCAGGTGAGTCGAGACGTTGGGTTTGAAGGATCTTCAAAGGCAAATAAGAATTGAAAGTCAGGATGTACAGGGATGCAGAAAAAGGCATCATTAAGGTCCAGGACTGTAAACCACTCTGCTTCCTCTGGTATTTGGGAAAGCAGAGTGTAAGGGTTAGGTACAGCTGGGTATAGAGGGACAATGGCCTCATTGATAATCCTGAGGTCTTGCACTAACCTCCACTGCCTGTTGGGTTTCTGTACTCCTAAAATTGGAGTATTGCAGGGGCTATTGCATGGTTTTACTAGGCCTTGGGCATTTAGGTCCATAACGATCTTTTGGAGTCCCTGTTGGGCCTTGGGTCTAAGCGGGTACTGCCTTTGGTAGGGAAAGGAGGTGGAATCCTTTAGTTTAACTTGAACAGGATGGGCATTCTTTGCTCGCCCATATTGTCCTTCTGTTGTCCAGACTTCAGAATTAATTCCTTCTTCAAGCAGGGGACAACAAACAGGTGTTCCTTTTCCTACGTTCAGATGTATAATGGCCCCTGCTTTTGCTACAATGTCTCTCCCTAACAAGGGAGTGGGGCTTTCAGGCATAATTAGAAAGGCATGTGAAAAGAGTAAAGTTCCCCAGTCACAACTTAGTGGCTGGGAGAAGTATCTAGTGACTGCCTGTCCTAGGACCCCTTGGATAGTGACAGATGTGGAGGACAGTTGTCCAGGACAGAAGAGTAAGACTGAGAAGGCCGTGCCAGTGTCCAGGAGACAGTTAACCTCCTGGCCCTCAATGGCCAAGCATACCCAGGGCTCTGTGAGGGTGATGGCATGGGCTGGCACTTGCCCCGGGCACCCTCAGTCCTGCTGCTGGATCATCTGGTTAGTGGCTTCTGACTCAGAGGACCTTCGTCTCCTGGGGCAATGGGCCTTCCAGTGATTCCCTTGACATAAGGGGCATGGATGAGGGGGCGGTTTATTTCTACTTGGACAATCTTTTTTAAAATGTCCTTATAGACCGCACTGGAAGCAAGCCTTGTTAGGCATTCAATCTGCCCAGCTTTTCCCTTTTCCAGAGCCTCCAAAGTCCGCTTGCTTGAAGGCCATGACTAAAGCGGTGGCTTTTGTTTTATCCCTCTTGTCCCATTCCACCTGCTCCTCCTGATCTCTATTATAAAAAACTGAGGTTACCAAGTTCAATAGGGTTTCTAAGTTTTGCTCCGGGTCTAAGGTGACTTTTGAAGTTTTTTTCTAATGTCCACAGCTGACTGAGTGATAAACTTTTCCTTTAAGATTAGTTGGCCTTCAATAGAGTCAGGTGACAGACAGGTATGCTTCCTCAATGCCTTTCAAGTCTCTGCAGAAAGGCAGTAGGATTTTCTTCCTTTCCCTGTGTTATAGTGGACATCATTGAATAATTCATAGTCTTCCTAGTTTTCCTTAGTCCTTCTAGCCCACAAGTTAGCAAATGTCTGCAGCACCAATCTCCATGTTCTGATTCTATGTCCCAGTGAGGGTCTACACTGGGAACTGCCTGCTGGCCTATGGGGAATCATTCTCTTTCCTCTGTTGTCATCCTATCATTGACCTGACTGAGACACCAGAGATCGCCAGACTCTCGGGCTGCAGTTATGGTGGCACTTCTCTCATTTGGGGTTAGTGTCTGATCTAGCAGTAACATTATCTCTCTCCACATCAGATCAAAGGATTCTCCTAACCCTTGTAAAACATCAATATAGCCATCAGGGTTATCTGAGAATTTACCTAGGTCTATTTTAATTTGCTTTAAGTCTGGGAGAGAAAAAGGTACATGCAGTCTGGCTGGGCTGAATTCTCCTCCTCCCACTGCTTGGAGGGGGCATAATCAGGGAATATTGGCACTCTTTGGTTCATTGTTTACCCCTTTGTCTATCTCTTTTTGGACCACTTGGGGTGAAGGGGGGGTCCTTATTAGTTGGGGAAGGAGTCAGTGGGATGCTCCGGTAGGGAGGTAGACTCTGAGGCTTCCTGTAGGGCATAAATCACACTTTTTACAAAATTGCGAGTTGTCTCTTAATGAAAAGAAAGTTTGTACATATGGCACTTCACTCCATTTGCCTTCTTTTCTACAAAAGAGGTCTAGCTGTAAGATGGTGTTATAATTTTTACTTCCCTCAGGAGGCCAGGTTTCTCCCTCTTGAAGAGTATATTGTGGCCTGGCAGGACTGCAGAAGAATATAAGTCATTTCTTTCTTAGCGTCTGAGGGTCAAATTGGTCCCAATTCTCCAGAATACATCTTAGGGGCGTTTTTGCCTTGGGGGGAACGTTTCCCATCTGAAAAAAGAACATAGGGATGACAGCACCCCTAGTCATTTTCTGATGAGCATTAGTCCTAGAGCGTCCTCTGTGGTCCTAATGCTTATTCCTTTCCAGGGTGCGTAACAACCCATGGACCTCTGCTTATCGGATTAGTTACGCTCACCAATGTAGCAGTCCTGCACCTGTTTTCCCACCTTCCTTGACACAAAGAAAGGGGTCCAGGCTGCTGGATTCTAGTGGTCCTTTACCAGCGTGCCCAACATTGCGTTTGTGCTCAGGGGTGAGTCCTAGAGCTGGGCTGGGTACCTGAGTATTTCATAACAACCCAGCTGCCCCATCAAGATGCATTCCCATAAGCAACTGTTCTTATGCAAATTCATTTCAGAGAGGGTGTAAGTAACCTTTTGAGTCAGGATTGAGAGTCTTTTTTGATTCTGTAAGTACTTTAAGGCTTGGCTGAGTGCAAACAGCTCCCATGTTTGAGGAGACCAATTATTAGGCAATTCTTCCAATTCTGCTTCCACAAGAGTCTCCCTATCAATTACTGAATATCGTTTGTGGTTTTTTCCTCAATCACCTGGAAGGAACCATATATTGTCCTGTCCTGAAGGGAGTTCCTCCTAGGTCTGGTTGGACCTTTGTATGGTAATTAAGATTTAAATCCCATTAGGAAATCTGCTGGGTTAGGGGAATTATCAGTGGTTAGTGTTAAATCACCTTTTGCCAACAGAATAGCCCCATACTTTAAGATTTTTGAGTTAGTAAGCTACCTTTTTGCTTTTTTTGACTTAGAATAATTCTGAACTGGTGAGGTGTGCTCACAATGAGTTTTCCTCTAAAAGTTACTTCTCTACTTTCTTCTGTTAGCAAAGCAGTTGCCACTACAGATTGAATGCATTTGGGCCACCCACAGGTTACCGGGTTAAGGATTTTTAATAGGAAGTCTACAGGTTGTCAGTGGTCTCAGTGTTTTCAGGCTATGCCCTTGTTTACACTGACAGGTAGTACTGGAGTGTTACAGGGTCATGGAGAAGATCTTCAATTATCAATTATAGGTTTTAAATTTACCCTGGCTTTTAAAGGAATAGGGCACAATGTTTTTTTTGTTTTTGTTTTTTAACTATTTCTTTTTCTTTGTCTCTCTCCCTCCCCTCCCTCTCCCTCCCTCCTCCATCTCTCTCTCCTCTTAGCCATTACAAACTTGGGGCCCTGGCAAGGGTGGTGGGGAACGGGTCCCACATAACTGCCCATGTCAAGAGCTGTATAACTAAATCGGGAGGGACACCAGGGATAAGACTCCTTGGGTTTATAGCCTAGGGGCCTAAGAACTCAGAATAGAGCTTCCTTAGATCCCTTTGGAGATACAACTTGCCAGAGGAAATATAAGTCTGAACCATTAGTACCTAGGAGGCAGGGATCAGAGGAAGTACATTCAGAGGTAAGAAGAATTTTGGGGCTATACTTTCAAGAAGTCGTGGTCGGGACCCAGGAGGTATGGGTCAGAAGGAAAGGTAGGGGCGCACGCATGGGTGACTGTTGAGTAGAGACTTCTGGCTGTGCCATGATCTCAACCGGCTAATGCCGGGAGTTTGAGACAACAGCTTTCTGCCTCTAGTCGGCTCTGGGCTTCCCCAAGAATATTGAAAGTGGAAGGTGGTTCTAGGCAGATGAATGCTCCCAACCCAGAAGGGTTGGGGGTTGTTAGAGAGCCCTTAATACTCACACCTGAATCTTAAGTCCAGTGGCCACGCTAATCGTTTTTAACTGGCCGACAGGTGCCCGGTTATTTTCCTCCAATTCTAAGGAATGATAGGACAGAATAGCAAGTGAAAGTGGTCCAATTATTACTCACTGCTTTGGAGGTCCCTTCATGGTTGCCAAAATGTTATTGGGGGGTCGTTGCTCCCAGAGCTCCCAAGATGGTGGCGGGCCTCTTCCAAGATGGTGGCAAGCCTCTTGTTCTCTGACCTGGGGTTCTTGGCCTCACGGATTCCAAGAGATGGAATCTTGGGCCATGCGGTGAGTGTTATAGCTCTATTAGAAGCTGTGGGTCACGGAAGAGAACTGTGGAACCCAGTGACTAGTGTTCAGCTTGATTAGGATGAACCCCGGCACTTAGCCATGCAGGAACAATGGCAAGCCTTCAGCCCAATCAGGAGTGGTAATGGATCAGAAGCACAGCAGACACCCTGCCGGATTCAGAGGGATAGAAGTCAGTGGAGGGTCTGTGACAGCGGCAAACAGCAGTGGTGGACGGCGAGCGAAAGCTCAGCTCCAGCCGTAACAAACATGGACTAGAAGAGAGTGCAGCTGCAAGATTTAATAGAGTGAAAACAGAGATCCCATACAAAGGGAGGGGACCCAAAGAGGGTAGCCGTTGCTGGCTCGAATGCCTGGGTTTATATCCCGATCATTGTCCCTCCCGCTGTGCTCTCAGGTGATAGATGATTGGCTATTTCTTTACCTCCTGTTTTTGCCTAATCAACATTTTAGTGAGCTCTCTCTGGTGTGAGCTAAGTTGCAAGCCCCATGTTTAAAGGTGGATGCGGTGACCTTCCCAGCTGGGCTTAGGGATTCTTAGTCCACCTAGGAAATCCAGCTAGTCCTGTCTCTCACTGGGAAGCAGGTCTGCTCTCTCCGTTTTACAGAAAGAAAATCAGCTCAGGTAGGCCAAGTAACAAACATACCCAGTATCACTTGGCTTGTGAGTAACTGAGCCAGGATCCCACACTCAAGTCTGTGGCACTCTGGAGCTCATGCTATTTCCATTTTCTCAGAATGCTCTGAAAGTTCCATATAAATATTGCTAATTTGGAGGAGGCTGAGCCAGGAAGAGGTGGCCACGAGGGCTGAGTAGGTAGTGTGGTGAGTATGATGGACTTTGGAGTCAAACAAATCTGGGTTGAGCTCTGTCTATGCAATTACTCATTATATGACCTTGTGTGTATTTCTACTCTCTCTAAGCCTCAATTTCCTCATCTTTACAATAGGTATAATAATAGCATCCACTTAAAAAGGCTGCTATTCGTAGAAAATAAATTAGTGCTTATAAAGCACTTAGCAAAGTGGCCAGTACAAGCAAGTACTCAATAAATATCTCTGTTTTTACTACTAAACATATGTGTTCAGCAATTATAAAATTGTAATATAGATGGGTTGCATCTAGACACATGTACATTATAGCAATGAACATCATTGTCACCTTTCCAATCCCATTGCACACCAACTATTTCTGGCCCTGGACTACGTCAACAACCTCTTAATAGATTCCTGGCCTCCAATTCCTCTCCCTTTGGTAAGCCAGCCTACATACGCTGACAGGCTGATCTCCCTAAAACCTAATTCTGATTATGCATTACTATGCATCATCCCCCTGCTGAAATACTGTCTTCAAAGTAAGTCCAAGTTTCTCTTCTTGGCTTTCAAGGACTTGCATATGATACAGCCCCAAATTCCTGCTCCCACCTTGTCCCCACTATTGTCCCACCTTGGTTGTCCCACCTGCTCCCACTTTGTCCCACCTAGTCCCCAGTATGTGGACTCTGGTTCCAGTTGAACTGAGTTGTGGGCTTTTATTTATAGACACAATTTCTCCTGCATTTTCTCCATCCAAAAATGGCCACCCATCTCCACACACCTGCCCTCAAATTGGCTTGCTGTCAAATATTTTCAGTGACCCAGTACTACTTCTCTCATGAAACCTTTCCTGCCATCCCCAAAGAGATGTGAGCAACTTATTCCTTTGAACTCATTTTGCCTTTATTTTTAAAATTATAGTGGTGTTATGAAAAGAGCTTAGGTTTTGCCACCAGTTAGACCTGGGTTCGAGTTCTGAATCTTCCTTTTATTAGTGTATCATGTCCCTGAGATTAAATTCCTTGTCTGTAAGTTGGGGATAATAAAATCCTTTTCCTATGGTGTCTGTGAAGACTAAATGAGACCAAGGCACAGAAGGCCCCCTGCTCAGAGCCTTCAGTGTCTGTCTTGCTCCTTTCCCCTGTGTGGGTAACATGTTTTATGTCCCCTATTTGTTGAGAGTAGGGACTTCACCTTAATCACCTTTGTATTTCTTTCTTTCTTTTTATTTGAGACAGGGTCTCACTCTGTCACCCAGGCTGGAGTGCAGTGGCACAATCTTGGCTTACTTCAACCTCTGCCCTCTGGGTTCAAGTGATTCTCCTGCCTCAGCCTCCTGAGTAGCTGGGATTACAGGGGTTGGCCACCACGCCTGGCTAATTTTTGTATTTTTAATAGAGATGGGGTTTCACCATGTTGGCCAGGCTGGTCTGGAACTCCTGACCTCAGGTGATCCGCCCACCTGAGCCTCCCAAAGTGCTGAGATTACAGGTGTGAGGCACTATGCCCAGCCTACGTTTGTATTTCTCACAGTGCTTAGAATAGTACTTTCTGGGGTTTTTTTTTTGTTTGTTTTGTTTTATTTTTTTTGAGATGGAGTCTTGCTCTCTCACCCAGGCTGAGTGCAGTGGCGCCATCCTGGCTCACTTCAAGCTCTGCCTCCTGGGTTCATGCCATTCTCCTGCCTCAGCCTCCCAAGTAGCTGGGACTACAGGCACCCGCCACCACACCCAGCTAATTTTTTTTTTGTATTTTTAGTAGAGACGGTGTTTCACCATGTTAGCTGGGATGGTCTCGATCTCCCGACCTCATGATCCGCCCACCTCGGCCTCCCAAAGTGTTGGGATTACAGGCGTGAGCCATCGCGCCCAGCCAAATAGTACTTTCTACACAGATGCTCAGTAAATACATTTTGGACTGAACTAACTACCACTTACTAGCTAAGTGTGCTCCATTTTGTTAACCTCTTTCAGCATTCCTTTTCTTGTCCTTAGGGTTATTGACATTAAATATAAATCTTTATGTTTTTTCCAGCTGTGTCATTTTTTCATTCATGTGTTAGGTGGTCTCCTAGGTGCTAGGGATGCAATGGTGAGTAAGTCAGGTATCATATAACTAGAACTCTGTTCCATAGTAATGAAAACTCAGCCTAGCAGTGGTCCCAGAGTGTGGACTAGCAGGGTTAGTAGAGGCAGATGTTGGCGTTAGTGAGAATGTGTGTAGCAGCTTGAAAGAGTTGGAGCCTCTAGGAAGAAAGCATTCTTTCATTGTAGGTGGAAAACTAATTGTTTCCCTTGGCTTAGTGTGTCACATTGTACAGGCTGTTTTTAGAACACGTATTGAGATAGAATTTGTATATCATAAAATTCACCTGTTCAAAGTGTACAGTTCAATACTTCTTTAGTATATTTACAGAGTTGTGCAACCATCACCATTTCTAATTTTAGGACAGTTTCATCCCCCAAAGAAACCAGCATGTTTATTTTATTTTAACTTTTAAGTTCAGGGTTACAGGTGCAAGTTTGTTACATAGGTAAACTTGTGTCATAGGGTTTGTTGTACAGATTATTTCATCACCCAGATATCAAGCTTAGTACCCATTAGTCGTTTTTCCTGATCCTCTTCCTCCTCTCACCCTCCAACAGGCCCCAGTGTGTGTTGTTCCTCTCTAAGTGTCCATGTGTTCTCATTATTTAGATTATTTAGCTCCCACTTGAAAGTGAAAACATGTGGTATTTGGTTTTCTGTTTCTGTGTTACTTTGGTAAGAATAGTGGTCTCCAGCTCCATCCATGTCCCTGCAAAGGACATGATCGCATTCTTTTATATGGCTGCATAGTATTCCGTGGTGTATATGGATGACATTTGCCTTATCCAGTCTATCATTGATGGGCATTTAGGTTGATTCCATGTCTTTGCTATTGTGAATAGCAACACAGTTATATTTGTGAAACAGGCTGAGTTAATACCTTTGCCCAAATCAAGTCCTAGCTTTCTTCACCAGCACAGTAATGTTGCTCAGCTAGTTATGAAGATGATAGGGTTGAACAGTCATAGTATGATTCTCAAGTAAGTGGGCTTGAAACTAAATGTCAACCCAAGATCCTCTGAGCAGACTCCCCAGCCAAATTAAAGGCAGACGCCCCAGCTAACTTAATCTTCATTACATGCAGCAACAATCCTATCAGCCTTTTGCCCAACCAGCTTCATTGCTCTCTGCCAAGGACAAATTCCTTCTGCTGGCAGTCACAGGCTAACCCAGCTGGAGCCGGGCCTCTCCTCTCATTATTCCTCACATGTGCTCTTACATCCCCTTCCCCGCAAACTCCACTCACCCCAATTATCTCTCTGTCCTGTCTTCAAATGTGCTCTTGCAACAACAAAACCCTCTCCTGATCCTGCCTCCCTCCCTCCCCACCCCAACCATTGCCCTCATGTCTCATTTTCTCTTTACACAACAAGCACCTTTGCAAAATAATACCTTTGCCAAAGTCAAGTCCTACCTTTCCTCACCAGCACAGTAATGTTGCTCAGCTAGTTTGTGAAGACAAAAGGGTTGAGAAATCATAATGTGGAAATACACCTTAATTTGATCTTTGGTATTCATTTGGTAAATTGGCCTGAACATGTCATAACCCTAGATGTCCCCTGGGAAGACTCTGTTAAAGGCAAACACCTCAGCTAAGTCAGTCTTCTCCAGGTGCCTCAAGGATCCTATCAGCCCCTTGCCCAGCCAGCATCTCTTGCCTTCTCTTAAAGACAAGTTCTTGGCTGGGCACAATGGCTCATGCCTGTAATCCCAGCACTCTGGGAGGCTGAGGCAGGAGGATCACTTGAGGTCAGGAGTTTGAGACCAGCCTGGCCAACATGGTGAAACCCTGTCTCTACTAAAAATACAAAAATTAGCCGGGCTTGGTGGCACATGTCTGTAATCCTAGTTACTAGGGAGGCTGAGGCAGAAGAATTGCTTGAACCTGGGAGGCAGAGGTTGCAGTGAGACAAGATCACACCACACTGCAACCAGCCTGGGCAACAGAGCGAGACTCCATCTAAAACAAATAAATAAATAAAAAAGACAAGTTCCTTGGCTGAGGAGTGGCCATACTGGCTGCTCCCACTTCCTTGCTCCTATACCCACAGTAGCCTTGCTTCAGCTCCTGTGACTCTCTGCTAATCACTGGCTTCTAGGCCACCAATGGCTTTAGAATTGCTAGATCCAGTGCACTCTTGTCAGTCCTCCCACCTGCCTTCTCAGTCCCTCTCTCCTCCTGAAACCCATCGGGGAACCTGCTCCCAATAGTCACGTAGGTTCTTTTCTATTTTCCCTAAGCATCGGCCGGATTGAGAAACAAAGGGACAGAGTACAAAAGAGAGAAATTTTAAAGCTGGGCATCCAGGGGAGACATCACATGTCAGTAGGTTCTGTGATGCCCCTTGAGCCATAAAACCAGCAAATTTTTATTAGTGATTTCAAAAGGGGAAGGAGTGTACGAATAGGGTGTGGGTCACAGAGATCACATGCTTCACAAGGTAATAGAATATCCCAAGGCAAATGGAGGCAGGGTGAGATCACAGGACCACAGGACCGGGGCGAAATTAAAATTGCTAATGAAGTTTCGGGCACGCATTGTCATTGATAACATCTTATCAGGAGACAGGGTTTGAGAGCAGACAACTGGTCTGACCAAAAATTTATTAGGCGGGAATTTCCTTGTCCTAATAAGCCTGGGAGTGCTATGGGAGACTGGGGCTTATTTCATCCCTACAGTTTCGACCATAGAAGATGGCCACACCCAAGGGGGCCATTTTAGAGGCCTACCCTCAGGGGGGCATTCTCTTTCTCAGGGATGTTCCTTGCTGAGAAAAAGAATTCAGCGATATTTCTCCCATTTGCTTCTGAAAAAAGAGAAATATGGCTCTGTTCCACCCGGCTCACCAGCAGTCAGAGTTTAAGGTTATCTCTCTTGTTCCCTGAACATTGCTGTTATCCTGTTCTTTTTTCAAGGTGCCCAGATTTCATATTGTTCAAACACACATGCTCTACAATTTGTGCAGTTAACGCAATCATCACAGGGTCCTGAGGTGACATACATCCTCCTCAGTTTACGAGATGACAGGATTAAGAGATTAAAGTAAAGACAGGCATAGGAAATCCCAAGGGTATTGATTGGGGAAGTGATAAGTGTCCATGAAATCTTCACAATTTATGTTCTTCCACCATGGCTTCAGCTGGTCCCTCCATTTGGGGTCCCTGACTTCCTGCAACAGAAACCCTGTCCTCCCATGGCTCTGTGAACAGCAGCCTCCTTCCATCAGTCTGACCCCTTGGCCCCATGCCTGGCTCTGCCCCTACCCCAGCCCCAGCCTTGGTGTGGCTCAGGGTCCCCTTCTTGCCCATTGCTCTCTGAAAACTTTACATTCCCCACTCCTGGTGTGACCTCACTCATCACCTACATGCAGAAGCTCCCAAACCTGTCTAGGCAGCAAGTCTAGCAGGCAGAAATGTAGTTTTCAAGCAAGACGCCTTGGCACTGATCTTCTGATTTCTGCGAAGGGTCTCAAGAGTCAGCTCTGTTTGTGTTACAGCTCTCTCAGTCTCACGTTTTACAAACGTCCCTTCAGATTCCAGTCTTTTTGGTTTGTCTGTTCACATCCTGTGAATTCTTTGAGACCCAGCTTCAATTTTGCTCTCAGGAGGCCTGCCCTGATGTCCTGACCCACACTGATTCTACAGTAGAGTCTACAAAATGATCCTGAGTCCCTGCTGGTGCTGGGTGTGTCTGCCCTTCATTTCATCCTTATCACAATCTTGTGAGTTTCGTGTAATTCTGCTCCTCTCCCTTCTTTTTCAGGTGAGGAAATTAAAGTTGAGAGACACTAAGCAACTGCCCCAGGCTTCCATGGCAGAATGAGGATTCAGGTCGAGCCTGTCTAACTGTTAACCCCATCCCTTTCCATCACATTTTTATGCCTACCTAGCATGGGCCTGGTTGGCAGGGCTCTTGAAGTAGAGCTTCTCAAATGCAACTGCACCTGTGCATCTTGCTAAGATGTGGATTCTGATGCAGGACTTCTGGGTGGGGGCTGAGACTCCATTTCTAACAAGTCCCCAAGTCATTCCAATGCTGCTGGCCTGCAAAGCACAATGTGAGAAGCAGGAGTTCAGCCCCCGCCCCCCTCATTTTGCAGCAGAAGAAATTGAGGTTGTTGAAGTCAAGTGACTTACTTCAAGTGGCATGGCACGTTAGTGGAAGAGGCAGGATACAGACATGGGAATGCTAATTTCCAGTCCAGAGCCTTGCCTTTACCATGTGTGTCAGTTACTAGGCTATTGTCTCTTTGCTCCAACCCCATCCTTCCGCACTTAGCTTTGGATGCTGGGGTTGTGCTATGGACTGAATATTTGTGTCCCTCCCCAAATCCATGTGTTGAAGCCTAATCCTCAGTGGGATGGAATTAGGAGGTGGGGAAGTAATTAGGTCAGGAGAGTGGAGCCCTCATAAGTGGGATTAGTGCCTTCATAAGAGACAAGAGACAGCTTGCATCCTCGTGCTCTGCAATCCACTGTATGAGCGTAGAATGAGAAGACAGCTGTCTGCAAAGAAGAGTGTCCTCATCAGACTCTAGATCAGCTGGCACCTTGATCTTGGACTTCTCAGCCTCCATAACTGTGAAAAATAAATGTTATTTGAGATACTCATTCTGTGGTATTTTGTTATAGTAGCCCAAAGAGACTAAGATAGGCTGGGACTATGCAAACCATATTTTCCTGCTTTGCCCACTGGCCCCATGTTAGGATCTGTGCATGTGCTCAAGGAGAAAGAGGAGAGAGAGAGAGAGAGAGAGAGAGAGAGAAAGAGATGAGAGAGAGAG
Organism: Homo sapiens; assembly: GCF_000001405.40. Lineage (NCBI taxonomy): Eukaryota > Metazoa > Chordata > Mammalia > Primates > Hominidae > Homo > Homo sapiens. The sequence goes on from NC_000001.11 coordinate 54,926,639, forward strand.
AGAGAGAGGAGAGAGAGAGAGAGAGAGGAGAGAGAGAGAGAGAGAGAGGAGAGAGACAGGGAGAGACAGGGAGAGACAGAGACAGGGAGAGAGACAGGGGAGGAGGGATGTCTAGTTTCCTCTTCCTGGGCGCATCACCCAGCAACACTGCCATTGTAGTAGCATTGCCTTTCTGTAACAGCAGCTGGATCCAGTTTGCATTTTCCCAGTCCTTGCAGAACCATCCTCATCACCATCAGCCTCAAAGGGACCAGGACCAGCCAATCAGGACCCTGTCCCCAGGGGTTGGGTTCCAGACCCACAAGAACCTCCTTTAGCACTTACTTTTAATAATTCCAACCTCCTCCCTTCGTTCCCCAAACCTAGGAATGGAGGCAGCTTCTTGCACTTGCCACCTCCATGATATTTAAGTGTGTAATTCTTGACTTTTCTGCTACCAAGTCAGCAATTTAAACCTAGCTTACATTTCTCTATACTCTCTGTTAAAACAACTGGACCTTGACTAACCTACTCTATGATCTGTTAATTTAAAAGTAAACAAAATATCCCCACTAGACTCTGAATTACTGGAAGGCAGCCACTGGGTCATTGTGATGAGTCCAGCCTCTGTCAGAGTGAGAGCTCGATGTATAGTAGCAAATACACACATACACACACACACACACACACACACACCAGAATGGGTGAAGCTACTACATGCTTTTCCCTTAATGCTAGGTCCATAGAAAGGCCTTATTATTAACTATTTGCTAGTTGAATTGAAAATAATTTTTTAGCTTTCTAGAAGTGGTGAGGAATGAAAAAGCGTCCAGGTTTTAGAATAAACAGGACTTCTTCTAACTGTAGTTCTCCCGCTTGTTAGGCAAATTGCTTGCTCTTCCTTTCCATTTCCTCCTCTGGAAGGTGGAGTTAATAATACTTTCCTTCTGGTTATTAATAGAACTAGAAGTAATGTCAGTGAAAGGCTGACTCCTGTGATTGGAGCCTCCTTTGGAGAGCTGCCAGAGCACAACATGTTAAAAGGAGATTAAGTCAATCTTTGAAACAGAACAAGAACAAGAAGCACATGGTGAGTTAGGAAGGTTGAGTTGTCCGTGAAGATGAGATTAGTGGGAGATAATTTTCTGATGAAGTAACAATAGGAAGAAGTTGAGGCCTAAAGTCTTCTCAGAGAAGATTTGGGGTTTATCAGGAATTTTTGGATTTATGAGGAGTCTGGGGTCCACAGAGGGGCTATTCAGTTCATAAACATGAGGACCCTCTAGATGCCAGACCCTGTGCTGGGAACTAGGGGGCAGAGAGGAATGAGATAGGGTTGTTCTTGGAGGCACTCAGGACATTCAATTAATTCATTCAACCCATATTCACCGAGGGACTAAAGCAGGCCAGGACCTGGGGCTACAAAGATGAATTAGAGTAGGCTCAGACCTCAGGAATTCAGAATGTAATAAGAGGCAAGTGAGAATGAAACAATGGCGGGCACCTAAACCTTGGAGGATGCCCTGCTATTTTTTTTTTTTCTCGAGACAGTGTCTTCTTCTGTCACCCAGGCTAGAATGCAGTGACGCCATTTCGGCTCACTGTAGCTTCAACATGCCGGGCTCAAGTGATCCTCTCACCTCAGCCTCCCCAAAATGCTAGGATTACAGAGGTGAGCGACTGTGCCTGGCTGATGCCTTGCTGTATAAACTGCAGCCTGCTGGCTCTCCCTCTCCAACCCAGCCTGCTAACTCACCACGGTTCCATTCACATCCCTAAAGCTTAGCTGTACCCTGAAAAAGAGCTTAGCAGTTGAGAACTCTGGTTCAGGGGACAGAAATATCTGGGTTCAAATCCTAGTTCCTCACTTGTTACTCATGCGGCCTTGAACAAGTCTGAGCCAGATTCCACCTCTAAACTTAGATATTATGTAACCTCATGAGGTTGCAGTGAGGATTAAACAAGATAATGTGTGCAAAGTGCCCAGCACAGTGACTGGCACAGGATTAAGTGCTCAATCAATGCTAGTTATTGCTACTACCTTTCATTAAAGGCTGCTTATAGGGTGGGTGCTTTGCATACTTCATCTCATTTAATATTCAGATAATCCTGCAAGGTAAGAATCATGAATCTTTTTGAGTGTTAATTAATGTCCTATATCTCGTTTCAGTGGAGGAGTAAGTTTCTATCTCACTTCCCAGGGGAGTGACTTATCATATGGAGAGGTTTTAAAGAAGGTGAGCGTGGGGCCCTCTCTTTTTGTAGAAAAGCCTGTCCTTGGCATGTAGAGCTTTTCAACTTTAGTACCCAGATCCTCCCATCACCCAGCACTGTTTCTCTCTATTCTGTTCCAATTCATACATGACACAGCTGCTGGGAAACCTTCAATGGCCCCATTGCCTACAGAATAAAGCTCCAACTCCTTATCCTGGCATTGAAGACCCTCCAGGTGTGGCCTACCCTACCTTTCCAGTCTTTATTCTAGTTCACTCCACCACATGCCCCATGAACTCAGGGCCAGCTATGGGGGACAGCAGTACTACCTGGGCTAAATAATTTAAAGATTTTTGTTGAGCTATAAAACTTTTTGCAGTGTCTTAAGCTATCTCACCAATAGTGGTGAATAGGTTTTGAATAATATCTCTGTTGACATAAACTCTAGCATTTGGAATTGGTATTCTCAGGATGTTTTCACCTATATTATCAACATATCTTATTAACATTGACCTTTTAGCTCTATAATGAAGAGAAAAAGGGGGTCCTTCTATATGTTTGTATAGGGATAAGGGGGTTAGAAAATGTTCCAGCAAGTGTAAACCTTTTATTTGTAATCTGTTGAGGCATTGGTGTGTCCATCTTTGTGTAGGTGATTCAGACCACATGTCACACACAAACACACGTCCTGGGGGAGCACAGGTGGTACCCCTGAAGGTGTGCTCACTAATAGATTCATTCATGGGGAATGCTGACAACACCAAATTGAACCATGGGTTCCTTTCTTTGCAAGCTTTTCAGAATTTGTTTATATCATAGCCTATATATAGGTATGGTTGGCATAGTAAGGACTTATCTTTAACTTTGTTCATATCATCTAGAGTGTATTTGTTTACCCAGTAGCACATGGATTGAGGAGGTCTCATGATATAGAATGGATTTCTACCATTAAAAACAAGGGACAAATTAAAACAAGGGATAGCAGTATTTGGGTTATACAGTAGTAAGACCTGGAAAGTTAATCCAGCAAGATGTCAGTCTAAATAAGTGGTGACTTTAACTTTAGGGACATCTGAGAAGTCAGTGACAGGTGTTACTATGGCCTATATTGGTCATGAATGAAGCTAGGAATCATATAACAAATCCAACAATCTGATAGGTTTTCTCCAGTGTGATACTTAGAGATAACTTAACCAAAGTGTTAACATGCCATCCTTTGCATTGGGACAGAGAGACAACTATAAGGAAAAATTATTTAAGGAAGTTAGTTAAAGTAAACAAGGCAAATGTCCTACTTTACATAGGATGGTAACAATTATCTATCTTCCTAAGACAACAATAATTACAGCTACTATAACGTAAGTATAAGCATTCATTTAGGTATAGGACTGGTCTCATGTCTTGGGAAACCTGACCATCTCTGATGTTGTCGTCTTTTTGTCCAGGCATTGGCTTAAACTGAAGATCACCTTCTGGTGTAACAGTCCATTCAGGAGGTTTTGCCCTCTTTAGATAAACAGATTCCAGGAGTCTATGCCTTTTAATTTAGCTGCACAAGGATTCGAAAGCAGTACTTGGTAGGATCCATTCCACCATGGTTGGAGAGTCCTTTAAAAGATGTTTCCAATGAGAAAATCTCCAGGTTGAAGTCTGTGGTTCTTGAGATTTTCATCTCTTGGGAGCTCAATGTGAAACACTTTAACAAATATTTTTAGTTAATTGTTTCATAAGATCATTAATAAGTGAATATATCTTCTTTTATTATTAAGGAGGTGCAATTTCCAGGAGAGAATTTCATAAGTCTGTCTGTTATAATTTCAAATGGAGATAACTGGTGTTTACTTAAAGGAGTCAATTTTAGGTTTGGTAAAACCAGTGGAAGAGCTTTTGGCCAATGTGTTAGTCTGTTTGGCATTGCTATAAACGAGTACCTGAGACTGGGCAATTTATAAAGAAAAGAGGTTTATTTGGCTCACAGTTCTACAGGCTGTACAAGAAGCACAGTACTAGCATCCACTTCTGGTAAAGCCTCAGGAACTTACAATCATGGCAGAAGGTGAAGGGGGAGCAGGTATATACCACATGGCAAGAGAGGAAGCAAGAGAGAGGGAGGAGGTGCCAGGCTCATTTAAACAACCAGCTCCAGCTGGGTGTGGTGGCTCACACCTGTAATCCCAGCACTTTGGGAGGCTGAGGTGGTTGGATCGCTTGAGGCCAGGAGTTCGAGACCAGACTGGCCAACATGGTGAAACCCTGTCTCTACTAAAAATGCAAAAATGAGCTAGGCATGGTGGTATGCACCTGTAGTCCCAGCTACTCAGGAGGCTGAGGCACGAGAATCACTTGAACTCAGGAGGTGGATGTTGGGTTCCAGCCTGGGTGACAGAGACTCTGTCTCAAAAAACAACAAACAAACAAACAAACAAACAAACAAAAAACCAGCTCTCCTGTGAACTCATTACCATGAGGAAAGCACCAAGGGATCTGCCCCCTATGACCCAAACATCTACCACCAGGCCCCACCTCCAACACTGGGGATCACATTTCAACATGAGATTTGGAGGGAACAAATATCAAAACTGTATCAGCCAAAGAATTTTAAAAGCCTTGATTAATTTTTTTAACTGGGTTTTTATTATTTCATTTGTGTGTTCCACTAATGCAGATAGCTGGGGTGATAAGCACAATGGAAATGTTGAAGAATAGGCCAGATTCTACATACTGATTGAATTATCTGTCCAGTGAAGTGAGTGTCTCTGTTGCTGTGAAGTCCCAGAGGAAACTCCAGCTTGGAATAATCTTTTTAAAGAGAATTTTACTTACTGCTAAAGCCGTTGCTCTTTTGCATGGAAATAACTCAATGAGAAAACATGCAGATCATTACCAGGACATATCTGTAGCTCTGTGAAGGTGGCTGCCAGATAAAATCCAGTTGCCATATTTCAAAGGGAGCCTTAGCTAAAGGAAAGTGTCTTTGGGAGCCATGTAATGGTTTTCCCTGACTATACCTTGTGCAAATATGACAAGAGTTGTATGTCTTATGAGCTATAGTCAGAGAAGGCTTTCAATAATATTGTTTTCCCCAAGCAACCATTCTGTCAGGACTCTAGCGAGTTAGATCATATACCCATGTTAAAAATAACTGTAATTTGGCCAGGCGTGGTGGCTCATGCCTGTAATCCCAGCACTTTGGGAGGCTGAGGCATGCGGATCACCTGAGGTCATTGAGACCAGCCTGGCCAACATGGTGAAACCCCATCTCTACTAAAAATACAAAAATTAGCCAGGGGTAGTAGCAGGCGCCTGTAATCCCAGTTACTTGGGAGGCTGAGACAGGAGAATTGCTTGAACCCAGGAGGCTGAGGTCGCAGTGAGCCGAGATTGTGCTACTGCACTCCAGCCTGGGCAACAAAGAGTGAAATTCTGTCTCAAAAAAAAAAAAAATATATATATATATATATACACACACATATATGTGTGTGTATATATATATGTGTGTGTGTATATATATGTGTGTGCATATATATGTGTGTATATATATATATATATAAAATTCAGCTGGAAGTATGGGCAAGTCATTTGGCCCATACCATACCTCATGTTTTGGGGAGTATATTTCCTCTTCTGTTTCACAGCCTTTTTGTTTTGATTTTGGGGTTCTGACTTGAGCTAATTTTTTGTCAAATTCAAGTGTGTCCTTAAAAGTTAATATAGGTTGTTTTTTGTTTGTTTCTTTGTTTGGACATGTTTGGAGCAGTTCTCTTTGTTACTTCATCAGCTAGCTGATTTCCTCTGCTTTCTGGAGTATCTGATCTGGAATTACCTGGAATTTTACTAGTGGCCAGTGACTGTGGTAATAATATGGCTTCTAGTAGTTGTGAAATAAGATGTCCATTTTTTATGCATTGATCCAGAGAGGTTAAGATCCCTTTTTGTTTCTATAACATTTCAAAATCATGGGCTACTCTAAAAGCATACCTACTGTTTGTATAAATATTAGTGGATATTTCTTTTGCCAACGGGCAGGCCCTAATTAATGCTATTAATTCTGCTTGTTGAGCCGAGGTGGCTTCCAGAAGATAGGCACTTTCCATTTCTTCAGACACCATAGTGTAATATGCACAGGAGATTCCAGATTCATCCTTCAAGTAAAATCTATCTGCATTTTACTACAGCATTTATAAGTGGGAGTGTCTTATAGTTCTCACCTGAGAGAAAGAAATTGATCAGTTGTGTTTAGGCAGTCATGTGGCATTTCATCTGAAAATGAAGGCAAAAGTGTTGCAGGTTTTAAATCGTTACACCTAGAGATGGTGATATGAGAGGCTGACAGAAGCAGGACCTCATATGAAGCCAGTCGGCTAACCAAGTAATGTTGAGTATGATATGAATTCAGCAATGCTGCAACAAAATGAGGGACAAAGATAGTAAGAGATGTTTCCGTTACAATTTCTTCAGTTGTCTTAATTAACACAGCAGTGGCTGTTATGGCTGTCATACAAGGTGGCAATCCTCTTGCTACAGGGTCTAATTGTTGGCTATAATACTCTATGGGTCTATTTTGATCTCTCTTTTTGAGTTAGGACCGCTAAAACATTTCCATCACTTTTATGTACAAATAAGGAAAATGGAAGGTTATAATTTGGATGGCTCAAGCCTGGGCATTAACAAGATCTTTTTTTTTTTTTTTGAGATGGAGTCTTGCTCTGTTGCCCAGGCTGGAGTGCAGTCATGTGATCTCGGCTCACTGCAACATCCACCTCCCAGGTTCAAGAGATTCTCCTGCTTCAACTTCCTGAGTAGCTAGGATTACAGGCATGCACCACCACGCCTGGCTAATTTTTTGTGGTTTTAGTAGAGATGAGGTTTCACCATGTTGACCAGGCTGGTCTCAAACTCCTGACCTCAAGTGATCCACCTGCCTTGGCCTCTCAAAGTGCTGGGATTACAAGTGTGAACCACCACACCCAGCCCACAAGATCATTTTTGATCATTTATAACATTAGCTGATTTTCTTCTGTCCAGTCTAGAGGGTCTGGTATATCCTATTTTAAGACTGCATATAAGGGCTGGGCTTTTGAAGAAAAGTTTGGAATCTAATTTCTATAATATCCTTTCAGTCTCCAAAACCCTCTTAACAGTTTCTTGGTACTTGATGGAGGAAAAGCTAAAATTCCTTTAAATCTGACTGGAATAATAGAAAATCCTTCCTTGGATATTAGGTAGCCTCGGTACTTCATTTGTTTTTGACAAAATGGAAGCTTTTCTTTAGGATTGTATTAGTCGTCTTCGTGCTGCTGATAAGGACATTCCTGAGACTAGGCAATTTACAAAAGAAAGAGGTTTAAGGGACTTAGAGTTTCACATGACTGGGGAGGCCTCACAATCATGGTGGAAGGCAAGGAGGAGCAAGTCACGTCTTACACGGATGGCAGCAGGCAAGAAGAGAGAGCTTGTGCAGGGACACTTTTGTTTTTAAAACCATGAGATCTCATGAGACTTATTCACTACCACGAGAACAGCATGGAAATGACCTACCCTCATGATTCAGTTATCTCCCACTGGGTCCCTGCCACAACACGTGGGAATTATGGGAGCTACAAGGTGAGATTTGGGTGGGGACACAGAGCCAAACCATATCAGAAATCTTATGACCATTTAGGGCCAATTGTTCTAACAGGTATATTCCATTTGCTGTGGAAGCTTGTTTGTTCTCTGAGCAAAGAAGTAAATTATCTATGTATTATATGAAGACAGACTTCTCAGCTGGGCGTGGTGGCTCATGCCTGTAATCCCAGCACTTTGGGAGGCCAAGGCAGGTGGATCACTTGAGGCCAGGAGTTTGAGACCAGCCTGGCCTTTAGTAGAGATGGGGTTTCTTCTGTACTAAAGAAACCCCATCTCTACTAAAAATACAAAAATTAGCTGGGCATGGTGGTCCATGCCTGTAATCCCAGCTACTTGGGAGGCTGAGGCATGGGAATCATTTGAACCTGGGGGGCAGAGGTTGTAGTGAGCCGAGATCACACCACTGCCCTCCAGCTTGGGTTATAGAGTGAGACTCTGTCTCAAAAAAAAAAAAAAAAAGAAAAAAGAAAAAAGACAGACTTCTCTATGAAGTCAACATCTGAGGAGGTCTGTTTTTAATATTTGTGGAAAGTAAGTTGGGCTTTCAGCATATCTTTGGGGCATGACTGTCCAAGTGTATTGTTTGTTTTCCCAAGTGAAGGCAAAGAGAAATGAACTGTCTTTATCTACAAGAATGTAAAGAATGCACTGCATAAGTCTATGACTGTAAAAAAAAAAAAATCCTGCACTGGATGGAATAGTTGTGAGAAATGTATGAGGATTAGGCACTACTGCATTCTGTGGAATTACTCTGTTGTTTACTGTTCTTAAATCCTGTACAAACCTTTCTTCTTTACCATTTGGTTTTCTTTCTTTCTTTCTTTTCTTTCTTTTTTTTTTTTTGAGATGGGGTTTTGCCATGTTGCCCAGGCTAGTTTCAAACTCCTGAGCTCAGGAGATCCTTCTGCCTCAGCCTACCAACGTGCTGGAATTGCCTGAGCCACTCAGCCTCCCAAAGTGCTGGAATTGCCTGAGCCACTGCACCTGGCCCCATTTGGTTTTCTTACCTGAAGGGTTGGTATATTACAAGGGCTTGTGCAAGAAATGATCAATCCTTTTTCTATATAATCTCACATTATAGGTTTTGTTCCTTCTAGGGCTTCAGTTCTCAAGGAATATTGTTGGATATTTGGAAGTGATTTTGATGACTCTATTTGAATTTTTATTGGAGTAGCTGAAAAAATAGTTCCTATATCAGTGGAGGACTTTGACTATAATTGATCAGGTACTACCTTTAGTTAAAGTTTTGTGATTCTTCATTGCTTAATAATTCAGTGTCCTCAGGCTGAGGTGGGAGGATCATGAGGTCAGGAGATCAAGACCATCCTGGCTAACACGGTGAAACCCCGTCTCTACTAAAAATACAAAAAATTAGCTGGGTGTGGTGGCGGGTGCCTGTAGTCCCAGCTACTCAGGAGGCTGAGGCAGAAGAATGGCGTGAACCCAGGAGGCAGAGCTTGCAGTGAGCCCAGATTGCACCACTGTACTCCAGCCTGGGCAACAGAGGGAGACTGGGTCTCAAAAAAAAAAAAAAAAAAAAAAGAAAAAAGAAAAAATTCAGTGTTCTCAATGGCAAGGTGGGTAGCAATTGGATTAGATTTTGAAAAATTTGCTCTGTTAATTCTGTTTTATCATCTATAGCATTTAATTCTAAATACATTTCCCCTTCCAGGAGAAAGAAATATGGGTATTGTATAGATCTAAGGAGTTCTTTCTTTCTTTCTTTCTTTCTTTCTTTCTTTCTTTCTTTCTTTTCTTTCTCTTTCTTTATCCTTCTTTCTTTTTTTTTTTTTTTTTTTTGAGACAGAGTCTTGCTCTGTCGCCCAGGCTGTACCGCCACCACACCCGGCTAATTTCTTTTTGTATTTTTAGTAGAGACGGGGTTTCACCATGTTAGCCAGGATGGTCTCAATCTCCTGACCTCGTGATCCACCCGCCTTGGCTTCCCAAAGTGCTGGGATTACAGGCATGAGCCACCGCACCCAGCCTCCTCTTTATCCTCCTTTCTCTGTCTTTCTTTATCCTTCTTTCTCTTTCTTTCTTTTCTTTTCTTTCAAAAGAAATATGGGTATTGTATAGATCTAAGGACCTTCCTTCCTTCCTTCCTTCCCTCCTTCCCTCCTTCCCTCTTTCCTTCCTTCCTTCCTTCCTTCCTTCCTTCCTCTTTCTTTCATTCTATCGCCCAGGCTGGAGTGCAGTGGTGTGATCTCAGCTTACTGCAGCCTCTGCCTCCCAGGTTCAAGTGATTCTCCTGCCTCAACCACCTGAGTAGCTGAGATTACAGGCACCTGCCACCACGCCCAGCTAACTTTTGTATTTTTAGGAGAGATGGGGTTTCAATATGTTGGCCAGGCTGGTCTTGAACCCCTGACCTCAAGTGATCTGCCCGCTTCGGCCTCCCAAAGTGCTGAGATTACAGGCGTGAACAACTGCACCCTGCCAGGAGTCTCTTTCTATCCGATTAATGGGGGCTGATGAAACCAAAAGGAAAACATGAATTTCCTTGTAAGAGACCTAGTTGAAAAGTTACAGGTTGAGACTTGTATGCTGATACAGGAGTATTTGTGACAGCCACTATTTGGACCAAGTTTTTACTTCAAAGAATGGGACTTTGTAATAAGGTGGATTTATTACAAATAAAGTTGCTCTAGTGTCAGTGAGGGCTTGGGATTGTTCTCCATTTAAAATAGTTTCTATTTCTTCCAGAGTGCCAGTAAGGAAAAATAAAAGGTCCCTTTAAGTTCCTTGGAGCACCCCTATTTTCCTCCTTTGCTGTTGTTGTTCCTCCTGTTTCAGTTTTCAGCATCTTTTTTTATTTTAAGTGGCCAGTTTTTTTTTTTTTGCAGTAATTGCATTTGGAAGGTTAGATCTGTTCAGAGATTTGTTGGGATATTTTGTCAGTCTAGACTGTGTGGATAATTTAGGTTTTTTTCTTCTTTAGTTAAAGTACAAGACAACTGGTCAGCAGGGTTAACCAAATTGTGAGTTTGAGAAATGCCCCAACTAGGGCATTATCCCTTTACTATTAGTGCTAATACTTTATTGAGCCCTTTTATAAAGTTGGAATTGAGGAGAGTATTATTTTGATGATTAACATAACTTGCCTCAAATAAGCCTGACTAGTGTCTAAAAGTCTTTTCAAATCTTTCAAAGCATGACATTACTGACTCATCGGGTTTTGCTGACATTGTTGTATTTTATTTCAGTTGACTACCTTTTGGAAGATGAAAGGAATGGCTGCATGCAGAGCCCTTGCAGTTTCACAGGCATTCCTGCAGTCTTCTTGTGAACAGTGATAGAAATCCTCTAGGGGGTTTCTCCAGTGGGCTTTATCTAGCCAATCTTTAGCCTTACTTTCTGAAACTAACATGTGAACTAGTTGATATCAATCAGAAAACCAGGGTCATAAGCTCGAATATGTAGTTCAAATTCCCGACAAAACCAGTAGGGTCCTGATGGGGTCAGGAAGTTCCTTAATTATGCCTTTAAGTTCTGTCTTTGATCATGGTTATTAAGCTAAGGCAGGTTCTCCCCTACCAGACACTGGCTGCTTGCTGAACAGAGCCAGAACAGCAGGGGCCAGAGGAGGAGGAAGAAGGAAAAGAAGGTTAAAGAGGAAGGAAAGGCAGGTCAAGGAGAAGCTTCTGAGGGAGAAGAAGATTCAGCAGCCTTTTAAAATTCAGAAATTGTTTGACAATCTTTTTTCTTCCTGCAAAGAAATAACTTTATCAGAGTCTCTTTTAGACACCTTCAAATACTACTGGAAATAACTCTCCCAATTATTCTATTTTATCCTAGAGCCAGCTTTTTCTAATTGAGCATGCAAATACATTAGTTTAAGCATTTCAAAGGTATTCCATTTTCCTAAATAAGGGCAAGAGATGGTGCCATAAGTATGGATCACGAGTCTAGCTGGAGTTTCTAAAGGCGCATCTCTCCTTAAGGAACACTTGGTATTAGATGGCAGATTGCCTGCTATTTGTATTCTCCTCTTAAGGGACCAAAGGTTGAAAGGGAAAGATATTTTTAATCATGTGTACTGCTTATGGGAATGGCTTCCCCCAGGGGTCACCCTTGGGTTGGTTCTTCCCTCTTACGTGCCTTGGTAAAACCCCGGAATTCTGGGCATTTAAAGCACTGGGAGATCAGCCCCTTATGTATGCCCATCAATTTAAGCAAATTTCTCTGCATGTTCTTCTTTGGGGACTCCTTATGGGACCATTTCTCATCATAAGCAATAAACTCTGACACTCCTATGAGACCTTAGTCACCTAAGGTGTCTTTTGGCCAGAAGGATCTGTGTCTCTCATATTTGTGACTTATCATGTCCTCATAAACTTCTTCTATAAATTTTTCTATTCTTTCTTTTTATGAAAGAAGAATCTAAATGTGGCAATTTCAGCTGACCTTCAAAATCTAGCCAGCTTAACATCACAATTTTGCTTAAGCCACAGACATTTACTTCCTGTTAAAGAGCAACTGCTTTCTCTTTAACCAAATTTCAAATGAGAGAAAAGTTCATAAATTGTATTAGTTTGTTCTCACATCGCTATGAAGAAATACCTGAGACTGTTTAATTTATAAAGAAAAGAAGTTTAATTGACTCACAGTTCTGCATGGCTGAGGAGGCCTCAGGAAACTTAAAATCATGGCGGAAGGGGAAGCAGACACCTTCTTCACTAGGTGGCAGGAGAGAGTGTGAGAGCACGGGAAAGACTACCTTTTATAAAACCATCAGATCTCGTGAGAATTCACTCACTATCATGAGAACAGCATGGGGGAAACCAGTCCCCATGATTCAGTTATCTCCATCTGGTCCCACACTTGACACATGGGGATTATTACAATGCAAGATGAGATTTGGGAGAGAACACAGAGGCAAACCATATCACAAATTTTAGCAAGTAAGACAGACAAAACTTTAACTTCAAGGAAGAGTAAAACCACAAACCTGCCTGCAACAGAATCTCTAAATAGGTAGCAAAGAGAACCCATACCTTAAAGCTTTAAAGTCGAGCTTTCAATTCCATCCCCATCAAGCATGCAATCAGGTCACTTGAATAAAATCTGAATTCACCTAAGCCGGGGAGAATCGAAACCCACGGGGGGCTTTGCCAAGAACTTTTGCAAACTTCAGCAAAAGTTGGTTGGATAGGAACAGTGTGTGCAGGTACCAGGGCCCCAATCTGTCTGTGAAGCAGCAGGAGTCAATGGAAAGAGACCACCTTGGGTCCCATCTGAATCATCAGAATGTCATAGAGAAATAATCAAAAGGATCAGAATCTAGTTTAAAAGAGTTAATTCAAGCGCAAAGCTGAGGATGACCATCTGGGAAACACAGACTCTAAATGGAATGGGGCCAGTGTCCCTAAGCTGAAAAGTGGGGGTCTTATTTAGATAGGCAGAAAACAAAGAAATTAACAGGTATACAACATTTTTCATACAAGCCTGGTTTATGGGTTACAGAAACATATGATTAGTGATAGTTTGTTTTCTTTTGATTTTACAATTTAAATGAGTATCTTTAACACCCCATTTAGACAATGTGATAGTTGTGAGATCTTTGTGTAAGAGAAGTCAAAGGGAAATTCATCTATAATGAAGATCAACAGTGAAGAGGAAAGGGTCTTCTCTGAAGCACTTTTTTTTTTTTTTAAATAACTTTTTACAACACAAGGTAGGCAAAGAAAAGGCTAATCTGCAACAGAAGAACAAAGGTTATAGCTGTCTAGGTTACAGCTTCCTAAGTTACAGCTTCCTGTCACATGACTCAGGCCCCATAATAACATTCCTTTAAGGCTCAAAATAAAATTCCAACAGCTTTGACTTTGAATTACTTACTTTTACAATAGGAAGGTTATCCAGATGCTGAGCAGCTATTGGATTTTTAATATTCATCTTCCTTAATTTCATACTGAATGCACAAGGCAATTTAGATGAGAGGGATTACCATTAGTCACTTAAAAAGCAAAGAAGGATCACTTGGCTCCCTCCATCCTAATTCTTACCACAGAGATGACACAATGACAGTCAGAAAAATCTCCTACACATAAAAAGTTGTATCCTAGGAGAGGAATGAACTTAAAAAGAATTTTCTCTGCTTATAAAAGGGAAGGAGCTGTCACTTGCCACTCCTGGAAGGGTCTCCTCAGAAACCACAGGGCTTGAGTCCTTATCACAACACTTTGGCATGAAAGTCAGCCTTTCTAGGAGCTAGGTAAACTGAGTCTCCATTCTTCCTTGAAATGTAAACACATTCCTCCAGAATTAGGTAAATGCCTTCAGAGTTCTCTCACTATCTATACAATTGCAAATAATTTTAAGATTTGCTCTTGTGGGTCCCATGTTTCAGGAAAATTTGCTCAGAAAGCCCTAACTGTACAGAAATACAAACATATTTTATCTATACTATACAGCAACCAAAGTGACAAATGTCTACCATATCCCTAAGCATTCATGGCACCCATATGGCACCAGGCTCTGTGTTGAGCACTAGGGATAGGCAAGGACTAAGCCAGGATCCCTGCCCTTAAGGAGCACTCAGGTTCTCAAGGGAAGGGCAGACATTGCTGTAGACCCAGTTTAAGTACCAGCTTGTATCTGCTCAGCCCACTTGTCTTGCTTCTTGGCCAGAGTGGCCTTAGTGATAATGCCCACCTCATAGTGGTCTTAAGGCTGGGATGCTATTGCCACAGACTGAGGAACCCCCATGTCAGTGACAGTTGACAAGGAGAGACTATTGGGCATCTTCTTCCAGAAGAGCCCAGTTTCACCATGGTTGAAGACTTGCTTTGAATGGTGTGCTTTCGCCTTAATCAGCTTCTTGAACTCTGCTGGAAATGTGGCAGCAGCTTCTTCATCAGCAGATGCAGCCTCTCCAGTAATTTTTATATTTCTCAGTCCAACCCATTCCTGAATCTGTGTAATTGTCCCTTACTTGCAGTAAATGGCCTGGCGTCACTTGTTTCAGGAGATCACTTGCTGAAGTCTTTGTATAGACCATGCTTTCTGATACAACAAATTGCCTTCAGTGGGAACACATTTCTGTTCATATCTTCCATCCACAAATTTAATGTATTTTTCATCTTAACTAAGCACTTACCATGCACTGTAGCTTATCTTTTGCAATTTAAGGTGTGACGGCAAAACTACCACAAATTTCTCTTCCTTTCTTCCTAGTTTCATGGATAGATTTGTTCTTAACAAAGATTTTAGCAGCATCAGCATACTTTTTTTCTTTCCTTACTATATCGAGAACTTTCTTCTTCTCACTTAAAGGAAGCACTCTCCTCACAGGTCTCCCTGAAGCCATCGTGCCCACTCCAATTCATCCTCCATGTGGCACCGAGTGGTCTTTTAAAATAAAGCATCTGATGCCAACCCTCTGTCTAAAGCCCTGGTTTCCCATTGCTCTTAGACAGACCTGGCCTATGAGCCCCCAAATGGTCTGGCTCCTGCCCCACCAACGTGGCCAGATTCCACTTGCCCCTTCCCTTTCTCTCCATGCTCCAGCCATCTGATCTTCTTTCAATATCTCGAACAGTTCAGATTCCTTCAGTCTCAAGGTCTTTGTACATACCATTTTCTCTCTCATTTAGACATTCTTCAGAACTCAGCTCAAAAGTTACTTCCTCAAGGAAGCCTTTCCTGACATTGCCCACATTAGAACTGGCCCCTGTTATTTGCTTTTGAGGCCCTGATATGGTTGGGCTGTGTCCCCACTCAAATCTCATCTCGAATTCTAGCTCCCATAATTACCACATGTTGTGGGAGGTACTTGGATCATGGGGACAGTTTCCTCCATGCTGTTATCATGATAATGAGTGAGTTCTCAAGAGATCTGATGGTTTAATAAGGGGCTCTTCCCCCTTCGCTCATCTGCCTTCTCTCTCTTTCTCTCTCACCTGCCACCATGTAAGTCATGCCTTTCACCTTCTGCCATAATTGTGAGGCCTCTCTAGCCACATGGAACTGTGAGTCCATTTAAACCTCTTTTTCTTTATAAATTACCCAGTCTCAGGTACGTCTTTATCAGCAGCATGAAACTGGACTAATACACTAAATTGGTACCAGGTAGGTGGGTGCTCTGTAAAGATACCCAAAAATGTGGAAGCAACTTTGGAACTGGGTAACAGGCAGAAGTTGGAACAGTTTGCAGGGCTCAGAAGAAGACAGGAAAATGTGGGAAAGTTTGGAACTTCCTAGAGACTTGTTGAATGGCTTTGACAAAAATGCTAATAATAATATGGACAATGAAATCCAGGCTGAGGTAGTCTCAGATGGAGATGAGGAACTTGTTGGGAACTGGAGTAAAGGTGGCTCTTGCTATATTTTAGTAAACAGACTGGTGGCATTTTGCCCCTGCCTTAGAGATTTGTGGAACTTTGAACTTGAAGGAAATGATTTAATGTATCTGGTGGAAAAAATTTCTAAGCAGCAAAGCATTCAAGAGGTGACTTGGGTGCTGTTAAAAGCATTCAGTTTTAAAATGAAGTAGAGCATAAAAGTTCAGAAAATTTGCAGCTTGATAATACAATAGAAAAGAAAAACCCATTTTCTGAGAAGAAATTCAAACTGGCTGCAGAAATTTGCATAAGTTACGAGGACCCAAATGTTAATCGCCAAGACAATGGGGAAAATGTCTCCAGGGCATGTTAGAAACCTTTGCGGCAGCCCCTCCCATCACAGGCTGAGAAGCCTAAGAGGAAAAAATGGTTTCCTGGGCCACGCCCAATGCCCCACTGCTGTGTGCAGTCTAGGAACTTGGTTCCCTGCATATCAGCTGCTCTAGCCATGGCTAACAGGGACCAAGGCACAGCTCAGGCTGTGGCTTCAGAGAATGCAAGCCCCAAGCCTTGGCAGCTTTCATGTGGTGTTGAGCCTGCAGGTGCACAGAAGTCAAGAACTGAGGTTTGGGAACCTCTGCCTAGAATTCAGAGGATGTATGGAAACACCTGGATGTTCAGGCAAAAATTTTCTGCAGGTGTGGGGCCCTCATGGAGAACCTCTGCTGGGGCAGTGGTTCTCAGTGGCCCCCTGGCACAGAGTCCCTACTGGGGCCCTGCCTAGTGGAGCTGTGAGAAGAGAACCACTATCCTCCAGACCCCAGAATGATAGATCACCAACAGCTTGCACCATGCACCGGGAAAAGCTGCAGACACTCAACACCAGCCCATGAAAGCAGTCAGGAGGGAGGCTATACCCTGCAAAGCCACAGAGGCAGGGCTGCCCAAGACCATGGGAACCCACCTCTTGTGTCAGCATGACCCGGCTGTGAGACATGGAGTGAAAGGAGATCATTTTGGAGCTTTAAGATTTGACTGCCCTGCTGGATTTTGGACTTGCATGGGACCTTTAGCCCCTTCATTCTGGCCAATTTCTCCCATTTGGAATGGGTATATTTATCCAATGCCTGTACCCCCATTGTGTCTAGGAAGTTACTAACTTGATTTTGATTTTACAGGCTCATAGGATAGGAGGAAGGGACTTGCCTTGTCTCAGGTGAGACTTTTGACTATGGACTTTTGAGTTAATCCTGAAATGAGTTAAAACTTTGGGGGACTGTTGGGAAGGCATGATTGGTTTTGAAATGTGAGGACATGATATCTGGGAGGAGCCAGGAGTGGAATAATATGGTTTGGCTCTATCCCCACCCAAATCTCATCTTGAACTGTGGCTCCCATAATTTCCACATGTTGTGGGAGGGACCCAGTGGCAGATAATTGGATCATGGGGGCAGATGCCCTCATGCTGTTCTCATGATACTGAGTGAGTTCTCTCAAGATCTGATGGTTTTATAAGGGGCTCTTCCTCCTTGGGTTTGTCTGCCCTCTCTCTCTTTCTTGCCTGCTGCCCTGTAAGACATGCCTTTCACCTTCTCCCATGATTGTGACGCTTTCTCAGCCATGTGCAACTGTGAGTCCATTAAACCTTTTTCTTTATAAATTACTCAGTCTTCGGTACGTCTTTATCAACAGTGTAAAATGGACTAATTCAGGCCCCACTTACAGTTTCTTCATTGAATTTATCTGTTTGAAATTATATATTTATATGATTATTTGAATAAGACCCATCTTGGCCAGGCACAGTGGCGCACACCTGTAATCCCAATACTTTGGGAGGTTGAGGTGGGTGGATCACTTGAGCCCAGGAGTTTGAGACCTGCCTGGGCAACATGGTGAAACCTTATCTGTACAAAAAAAAAAATGCAAATAATTAGTTAGGTGTGTGGTGGTGTCTGTCTGTAGTCCCAGCTATCAGGGATAGCTGATAGTCTCAGCTATCAGGCTGAGATGGGAGAACGAGCCCGGGAGGCTTAGGCTGCAGTGAGCCATGATTGCACCACTGTACTTCCACCTGGGCAACAGAGACACTGTCTCAAAAAAAAAAAAAAAAAGCCCCATCTCTGGCTCCAGACTCTAAGCTCCTGGAGGCTAAGGACGGCTCTGTTTTGCTCACCATGGATTCCAGTCCAAGTAGAGTCTGGCACAAAGTAGGTACCTGGACTGATCCCTCCATGAACGAGGAGGGGTGGAGTGGGGTTCCTGAGTATTTCTTCAGTTACAAAAGACGTAAGTCATGGCCACGGATAGAGTCATGGGCTATTGCAAGCAACAGGGATTGTAGCTTTGGTTGGAATTATAGCTCATTGTGAAGACACTGGTGACCTCTCACTGTTTGTTACTTGAGTATATCTTTTATTAGTGGAATAGGAAGATAAGTTTACTAGGATTAAATCAATTCAGACGGATTTCACCAAGTCTTTTAAGTCATTGAGCTCTTGGGGTTAAAAACGAAAGCTCTCCCTGTGAGGCCACAAGGTGGCAGCACAAAGCAGCAAGTCAAAGAGCACCCAGCTCCACTGCCTTCTTGAGAGGACCGGATGAAGACACTGGGCTGACCACCTGGGACAGAAACTAGGAAGCCTGGGTTCTGCCATCTTTGGCTTTAGCCAGGATTCCAAGAGACAGACATTTAGCTGCCTTGCGCCCCCACTTATCTACCCCTACAGTTGGAATAATGGAATTATTCCATTCCTACTTCCCTATTCATTCATTCATTCGTTTGCTCGTTCATCTTTGAACAAACATCCAGAGACCCTTAGGTCTTGGCTGGGCACCGGGGACCCAGTGAGTAAGACCAGCCCTGCCCCTCCACAGTGTGGGAAGTGCTCTGACTGATCACTGGGCAAGGTGCGAGGGTTGCACCACAGGGCAGGAGGAGCCTTGGGTGTGGCAGGGCATTGGTGGAAGCCCAGGGAGATCCCACAGAGGGGTGGGGTGGGGCAGGGCTGGCATAGGCAGCAGAGGCTTCTGTGCAAGCAGGAAAGAGGGAGAGAAGCCACAGGTGGTGGCTAAGGGTGGTTGCAGTCTGAGGGGGAGAAAAGGGAGGTGGGAGAGGGGCTAGAGAGGTGGCAGGGGCCAGGTCACAGAAGCTCTCCGGTTAAGGTGCTTGGCCTGTTTCCTGTGGAGGGTGTGAGGTCCCTGAAGAACTCTGATGAGGGCTTTGTGAGAAGAGAGGGAGACAGACCTCCAGCATTGAGCTGGGAGACCAGGAAGAAGCTGAGGTTACTGCATCATCAGTCATGGGCTAAGTAGTAGGCACCTGGAAGAAAAATGTTAGAAACTAGAATGCTCCTGGGGTTTTCTGTAACACAGAGGTTACTTGGACAAGATCAAATGGTGAACATGCTGTGTGTGTGTGCACGAACATGTGATTGATGACCCCCATCCTTCCCTCTGGTAGCCCGTGCCTGCCCCAGTGGGTCCAGGGAAGAGCAGAGCAAAGCCCTTCCTGCCTGCTCATCAGAGCTGCCCCAGGCTTGAACACTGGGGTGAGTGAATGCAGGACAACAAGTGTGCTTACTGCCAGGGAAGAGAAGCTGAGCCTTCGGACTGGACTTGGATCTGACCCCCCAACTCCACCTTGAACTAGCTGGGAGAACTTGGGCGAGACTCTGCCCCTCTCTGAGCCTTGGGTCCTTCTTCTATTAAATGAGGAAATTGAATCTACTTCATGGAATTGTTGAGAAGGACCCAGCCCATGGTAGATCTCTAAATATGGGTAGTTTCCCACCCCTTCCGCCCCTTCATTCTTCCCCACCCTCACCCATTCTGACGATGCTGGCAGCCAGCTGGGTGGTGATTCAGGGAGACTGTGGCTAATGCAGCTCACCTGTAAGGGATGACGTTCAAATCAGCCCAACAGACTGGCCTGACGGTCACTGGGCCATGATGGGGAGGTTTGGAGATTGTTAATGCACCTTGGGACTCTGGTCTTCCATGAGTTGATGCTGGGCTTTGCACCCCTCCCCCAACCCGAAGAGCTTTTGGGGATTTCTTTCCTTTTCTTTTCTTTTTCTTTTGAGATGGAGTTTCGCTCTTGTTGCCCAGGCTAGAGTGCAATGGTGTGATCTTGGCTCACCGCAACCTCCGCCTCCCGGGTTCAAGCGATTCTTCCGCCTCAGCCTCCCGAGTAGCTGGGATTACAGGCATGTGCCACCACACCTGGCTAATTTTGTATTTTTAGTAGAGACCGGGTTTCTCCACGTTGGTCAGGCTGGTCTCGAACTTCCGACCATCCGCCTCGGCCTCCTAAAGTGCTGGGATTATAGGCGTGAGCTACCACGCCCGGCCTTTGGGATTGATTTTCAAAGCTAACTTTAGTGTTCATTTTAGGAAACTAAGGAGAAGAGAAACAAACTCCAGGCTCCTATGATGGAGGCACTGCTTGTAAAAGGGCACATACAGACCTCCCAACCACCCTAAGATGTAGGCGCTGTTAAAACCCAATTTAGAAGAGGAAATTGATTTTTTTTTTTTCCTGAGACAAAATCTTTCTCTATTGCCCAGGCTGGAGTACAGTGGTGCCATCTCAGCTCACTGCAACCTTCGTCTCCTGGGTTCAAGCAATTCTCTCTGCCTCAGTCTCCTGAGTAGCTGGGATTACAGGTGCCTGCTGCCATGCCCGGCTAATTTTTTTGTATTTTTAGTAGAAGTAGAGTTTCACCATGTTAGCCAGGCTGGTCTCAAACTCCTGACCTCAAGTAATCTACCCACCTCAGCCTCCCAAAGTGCTGGGATTATGGGTGTGAGCCACCGCGCCCGGCTGAGAAGAGGAAATTGAGATGCAGAGAGGGGAAGGTGTATCACTGGTAGGATTGCCCAGCTGGTGAGGGGTGGATTCACATTTGAAATGCACATCTGACCACAATGCCTGTTTCTAGCCGAAGAACAGATCCAGGGCCTGGCTCCTCGAAATCAGGACCTTTGAGAGGAAGAAGAGCTGCCCATCCTTGCCTGCTTTCATTTTGCCACAGAGTTAAACAAGGCCCAGAGAGGGCAAGTGGCTTGCAGGGTTACACAGCAAACTATGTGGTGGAGACCACACACCCCATTCAACTGCCATACCCTCCCATCTCCTAGTCTTAGACAACTGTCATTAAATACTTTGTATCTTTTTTTTTTTTTTTGAGAGTCTTTTTTTTCGGAGTCTTGCTCTGTCGCCCAGGCTGGAGTGCAGTGGTGTGATCTCAGCTCACTGCAAGCTCCGCCTCTCAGGTTCACGCCATTCTCCTGCCTCAGCGTCCCGAGTAGCTGGGACTACAGGTGCCCGCCACCACACCTGGCTAATTTTTTGTATTTTTTTTTAGTAGAGACGGGGTTTCACCAAGTTAGCCAGGATGATCTCAGTCTCCTGACCTTGTGATCCACCTGCCTCGGCCTCCCAAAGTGCTGGGATTACAGGCGTGAGCCACCATGTCCGGCCAAGACTTTGTATACTTTTAACTGTGAAGAGAGCCCTCCTCCCCTTACTACCAGACATAAGTAATGCAGAGAAAGGACCCAAGAGGGTGAAAAGGAGTACTTGGCAGGGAGTGATGGGGAGAAGGGGTGAGGCACTTCCTTGGTTTCTGGAAAGGAGAAATGACAGTGCTTTTTATTCTTGCCTTCTTAATGAGAAAGCTTTCGTAACAAACTGGTGGCTTCTCAGTGTGTTTGCAGCTGCTCCAGGTTATGTGGAGATTGTCTGCCCTGCACACAATGACGTCAAGGTTATAATGTCTGCACAACAAACCCACTGAGTCTGCCAGACAGGGTGGTTCTACATCGCTGGGGTGCACAGGGACCAGCCTAGAAGAGGCATGGTTGGGACAGGCCCTGCCATATGTACCTTCTTTCCTCTGTTCTTTCTCATGCATTCCCTGCGAGCCAGGTGAGGGCTGGGGTGGGATACTGTATTCGTCTTTTTTTTTTTTTTTTTTTTTTTGAGACAGAGTCTTGCTCTGTCACCCAGGCTGGAGCGCAGTGGCGTGATCTTGGCTGACTGCAAGCTCCACCTCCCGGGTTCATGCCATTCTACTGCCTCAGCCTCCCCAGCAGCTGGGACTATAGGCACACGCTGCCATGCCCAGCTAATTTTTTTGTATTTTTATTAGAGACGGGGTTTCACTGTGTTAGCCAGCACGGTCTCAATCTCCTGACCTCATGACCCACCCGCCTCGGCCTCCCAAAGTGCTGGGATTACAGGCGTGAGCCACCGTGCCTGGCCTGTATTAGTTTGTTTTCACACTGCTAATAAAGACATACCTGAGACTGGGTAATTTATAAAGGAAAGAGATTTAATAGACTCACAGTTCCACATAGCTGGGAAGGCCTCACAATCATGGTGGAAGGCAAAGGAGAAGCAAAGGCATGACTTACATGGCGACAGGCAAGAGAGCGTGTGCAGGGGAACTCCCATTTATAAAACCACCGGATCTCATGAGACTTATTCACTACCATGAGAACAGTATGGGGGAAACCACATCCATGATTCAGTTAGCTCCACCTGTCCCCACTCTTGACACGTAAAGATTATTATAATTCAAGGTGAGATATGGGTGGGATCACAGCCAAACCATATCAGATACAGAGGTGACAGGGCAGGGCCTGCTCTTTTGGAGCTCACCCTCTGCTCCCCTGCACATGCTGGCCCAGGAGCAGATCCTGCTTTAGGAGGTCTGAGGTGGGGTCGAGACTGTGGTCTCCAGACACACCTTGAGGAGCAAAGTTCTAGTGGCTATGAATTAAAGATCTTCTGGGTACCAAACACGGGGCACTTAAAAAAAATAGCTTCCTTATGACTGGGTGTGGTGGCTTACACCTGAAATCCTAGCACTTTGGGAGGTTGAGGTGGGAGGATTTTTGAGGCCATGAGTTCAAGACCAGCCTGGGCAATATAGTAAGACTATGATTTAAAAATTAAAAAAAACTTCTTTACATTTTTGCTTTTTTGAGATGCAGTCTCGCACTGTCACCTGGGCTGGAGTGCAATGGCATGATCTCGGCTCACTGCAACCTCTGCCTTCCAGGTTCAAGTGATTCTCCTGCCTCAGCCTCCAGAGTAGCTGGGGTTACAGGTGCCCGCCACCACGCCCAGCTAATTTTTTGTATTTTTAGTAGAGACGGGGTTTCCCTATGTTGTCCAGGCTGGTCTCGAACTCCTGACCTCGCGATCCGCCTGCCTGGGCCTCCCAAAGTGCTGGAGTTACAGGCATGAGCCACCACGCCCGGTCATATATATTAGTTCTTATATTCCCTTTATATATCCATCTTGTACATTTTCCCTATTTTCCTCCCTTTTAGTCATGTCCTGGAGTTGGAAACTTGCCCTGGAGTGTTTCAACAAGGAAATTTCCATTGCTCATATTTCCCTTCCAAAAGGTTGACTCTGATCACGGTGTGGAGAGCTGGTGCAGGCCTGTGAGTGGGGGGGGCTTTGAAGCTGTCCAGGGCAGACATATTAGTGGCTTGAACTAGGACAATGAGCAAGAGGGAGAGAAAGGGAGGGATGCACAAGTTATTTAGGCGTGGTAATGGTGGGGCTGGGTGTAGGACGAGGAGGATCCCCGGGGGTGGAAGTGAATGTCATAGCTAGGCTCGTGGAACTGGGAGGAGGGAGCTGGAGCAGGGAGGGGGATGCGGCCCTCGCAGGAGCACAGGACATGGCTGCCCCTGGGATCAGCCTTGGCAGATGGCCAGACGGCCAGTGCTCAGCACAGAGCCTGGCATAGTGGCTGCGGAATGAGTGAAAGCTGAAGTTCTGGACCCTGAAAGAAGGAAGGAGAAGGAAGGGCATGGCAGGAACCACCAAGTAGGCAGCTTGACCACATCGTGCCTGAGAGTGCCTGACAGTGCCAGGTGCCTCGGCCCCGGGCCATGAACGATCGTTTGTGAGCCTTCTGAGCTGCAGGCGGGCGACTGAGAACAGCCTGGCGGGCTGAGCCCCTGGCCCTGAGGACGCAGCCGTGTATTTTTTCCCCTGTGGCTCACGGGGCCTGGGAAGCACAATGTCCTCCATTACCGCAACTCCTCAATTAGACATGTGATGGCGGAACTCATCACTAGGTGGCGCTCATAGGCTTTTTGTATTTTTTCCCATCCTTCTGTGACAAAGCTGGGATTCTTGCTGTGTTGCTGAACAAACAGAACCCTGACTTAGTCTTCACAAGTTACGAAACTGACCCAAGGGCTGTGCTGTTTTCAATTCTACCATGCTGCAACTATCCCTCCCGCAGCCTGGGAAACAGGGTAGGATTCCAAGAACAAATAAAGGCCCTCCTTCAACAACCCCATGGCATCCGCCAGCCGCCCAATAGTGCCGGACTCTGACCAAGCGGTGAGACCTCGGGCAAGTCATTTTGCAACCGTCCAGTGGATTCACCTTGCCCGCTGCATAGACACAGCCGATTTATTAAGACAGGGGAAATGCAGTGGAGAAAGAGTAATTCATGCAGAGCCGGCTGTGCGGGAGACCGGGGTTTTATTATTACTCAAATCCGTCTCCCTGAGCATTTCGGCGTCAGAGTTTTTAAAGATAATTTGGCAGGTAGGGGCTTCGGAAGTGGGGAGTGCTGGTTGGTGAGATTGGAGATGGAATCCTAGGGGGTCGAAGTGAGTTTTTCTTGCTGTTTTCTGTTTCTGGGTGGGATGGCAGAACTGGTTGAGCCAGATTACCAGTCTGGGTGGTGTCAGCTGATCCATCGAGTGCAGGGTCTGCAAAATATTTCAAGCACTAGTCTTAGCTTTTACAATAGTGATGTTATCCCCAGGAGCAATTTGGGGAGGTTCAGACTGTTGGAGTCAGAGGCTGCATGACTCCCTAAACGGTAATTTCTAATCTTATAGATAATTTGTTAGTCCTGCACGGGCAGACTGGTCCCCAGGTGAGAAGGAGGTCTTTTCGGGAAAGGGCTATTATCAATTTTGTTTCAGAGTCAAGCCATGAGCTGAATTCCTTCCCAAAGTTAGTTCGGCCTACGCCCAGGAATGAACAAGGACAGCTTAAAGGTTAGAAGCAAGATGGAGTCGGTTAGGTCTGATTTCTTTCACTCTCATAATTTCCTCAGTTAAAATTTTGCAAAGGTGGTTTCAATTTAACCTCTCAGAACCAAGTTTTCTTCAAGTGGGAAATGGGGATAATAATCATTCCTCTCTTGTCCTGAGTTAAGATACATGTGAGAAAAAAAAAATCATAGAGTTCGTGGGAGAAGTAAGAGCAAACAGAAGCAGTACTGTCAGAAGCATTTGAACCAGAGCAATTCCATCTTGAATAGGAGCTGGGTAAAATTAGGCTGAAACCTACTGGCCTGCATTCCCAGAAGGTTAGGCATTCTAAGTCACAGGATGAGATACGAGGTCGGCACAAGATACAGGTAATAAAGACCTTGCTGATACAACAGGTTGCAGTAAAGAAGCCGGCCAAAACCTACTAAAACCAAGATGGCCATGAGAGTGACCTCTGGTCGTCCTCACTGCTACACTCCCACCAGCGCCATGACAGTTTACAAATGCCACGGTAACGTCAGGAAGTTACCCTATATGGTCTAAAAAGGGAAGGCATGAATAATCCACCCTTTGTTTAGCATTTCATCAAGAAATAACTATAAAAATGGGTAACCAGCAGCCCTTGGTGGGCTGCTCTGTCAGTGGAGTAGCCATTCTTTATTCCTTTACTTTCTTAATAAATTTGCTTTCACTTTACTGTATGGACTCGTCCAAACTCGTTCTTGCATGAGATCCAAGAACCCTTTCTTGGGGCCTGGATTGGGACCCCTTTCCTGCAACATCTTTCTGGAGACCACAAAAGGACAATACTGAGGAAACCCCTGACCCAAAGGCTAACTTTGGATAAGTTGTGGGGTCCAGGAACACTACTGTATTTTATTAATAAAATGTTTTTATCAGAGCCTCCAGAACCCAGCCCTGCACTGCCACCTTGGTTGGATTCCTCCAGCCACATTTACAGAGCTCACACTCCCCACCTGCCCCCATGCATGCTGGAGGGAAGGGAGAGATAAAGGTGATGCTGTGGCTGTCTCAGGTGCCCGCAGCCTGTAGGAGTCTCCCTTGAGGATGGGTCCTCCCTGGGCATAGAATTGTGAGTGACGTCCCTTAGGTCTCACAGTCAATGTGTGGGCTGTCTAGGGCCGCATCCTGAGTGTCCTGACTTCAGCTCTCCAAGACAGAACAGGATACCTGGCCAGGATCTGTTAACACCTTGGCATTAGGTTGGCTGGTCCTGGTGAATGGAGGCCACAGTTTGAACTCCAACATGGGAATTTACAAGAAAACAGTGTCCAAGTGCTTCCAAATGTCACATGGTTTCCTGCAGGTCTAGGCCTTTGCAAAACCATAACAGGAGTCACTGTCCACTTGATGACTCAGGGCCTCCTGGACAGGAACCACGTGATGTACCTCTCCTTGAATAAAGTTCCCAGGAAGGGTTTACCTCTGTGCACAAGGTTTAGTCTGGTTTTTCTTCTTTGGAGAGAGACACCAAGTGAGCCTGGCTTTTCCTCGACTCTGCTAAGCCAGAGAATGGCTGGAAGTCAGGTTTGGCTCTGGTAGTTCTCAGATGCCTGGTATCAGCAGCTCTCTCTGTCTCTTTCCAACAGGGATCTCCCCACTGGGAAGTATAGCATTGTGGCCGTGAGCATGTGCTCTGAAGCCACACTGGGTTCAATTCCCAGCTCTACTTCTTGTTAAAGCTATGTCCACTTGGTTAAGTGACTTAACTTTACTGTGCCTCAGTTTCCCCGTCTGTAAAATGGGTTGCTCTGAGTATTAAATGAGTTTATTTTGTAAAGTGCTTAGAACAGTGCCCATTATATAATAACTGGTATGTAAGTGTAGGCTGTTCTGTGTCTCTTCCAGTTGTCTTACTTTGCCCTCTAAGTAGAGATGCAATAGAGAGTGAGGGACACAAACATTAATAAGGCAGCATGATCTCTGAAGCACTTTACATATGTAATTCGTGAAGCTCTTAATATTCATACAAGGTAGGCACGCTCACCCGCATTTGGCTTATGAGGATACAGAGTCTCATTGTGGGGAAGTAATTCTTGCAAGGTCACCTCTGCTGTGGGGAAGCTTCTAAGACCTCAGCACCCTTGGTGGGGCATTCTCTTCTGACCTCCTTGTCTCCTGGCCCAAGGCTGCTAGGCCCTCAGCTGTCTCTCAGTTCACTCCTCACTCTAATCTGTCTGGTCTTGGAGTCAGGACAGTCATCAGGAGTATTAGAGTAAATACACTGCTTGCTCTAACAAATAACCTCCGCTCTCAACACTTACCACACTGGAGATTACTCACTCACATCACAGTTTAATAAAAATCAGGTATGGTGTGTGGGGAGAATCCTGTTCCACACAGTCACTCAAGGACTCAGGATCCTTCCATCTAACGGCCTTGCCACCTTTGCCACCCTCCAAGGGCTCAGAGTGCCCCCCGCCTCAGGTCCTCTGCATTTGGTGAGCCAACAAAGGAAGAGGGAGAGCATAGAGGCTTGGAGGGTGGCCTATGAGGAGAGAGACTGTCTGCTTCATCTGAATCTCACTCCTGCCCAGGAGACATGAAATGCATGCTTGCTAAACTGAGGGGCTCATCATGGGGAAACTTGAAGGACACCTAACTCTGCCTGGGAAAGGTGGGTAAGTGTTCAACAAAAAGGGGACATCTTAGTCAGGTCTTGAAGAGTGAATAAGAGTTCTCTGGATAAGGAGGAGGGAAAGGCATTCTGGGCAGGAGGAACAACGTGTGCAAAGACACATCAGGAAAGTGCCCGGCAGGCAAAGGCAGGACAGGTAAGGAAACAACAGGCAGAGTCATGGAGTGTGAGGTGGGGGCTGCAGGGAGGAGGCTGGAGAGGCAAGCAGAGCTGGACTTTGGAGGTTTCTGTTCCTCCTTGCTTTCTATCCTTCAAGTCCCAGCCCCAGGTTCCTTCCCCAGGACTCTAAGATGTGGGAATCCCTCCCTTCTGTCCTCAGAAACACTGATGTTCAGGGCATTTTAACCTGGAATGATCCAATGTGACCTTCACAGCAGCCCAGTGAGGTGGAAAGGACATAGGTAATTATAGTCCCCATTGCTTTTATATTCTGATTGTTTATTAGGGGCTTATTTCAAAAAGTTGACTTTTTATTGAAGTTGTATATGGTAAACTTGCTAACTTCATCTACAGATGCTTTTGGATTTGCTAGGTAGACAATCATGTGCAAATAATCACAGTCCTATTTCTTCCTGTTTTTATTTATTTTCCTTACCTTATTGCACTAGCGACCATCTCCAATAAAATGTAATACAATCAATGCCAGTGGACATCCTTGTCTCTTTCCTCATCTCAGTGGGAAAACTTTCAATATTTCACTATTAATTAAAATATTTGCTTACAGACATTTAAAATGTTTGCTTAAAAGTAGGTACCTTTTATCAGATTAAATATTTCCTCTTATTCTAGACTGCTAATTCTTAAAAAAATAATAAATCGGCGTTGAATTTTATCAAATGCTTTTCCTCCATCTGGTAAAATAATCTTATAGATTTTTCTACTTTTTCTGTTAATGAGATAATCATCAGTGCTTTCATCAGTGGTGCTCAACTGATGTTAATTTTTCTCTCTAGGGGACATTTGGCAATTTCTGGAGACATTTTTTATTAACTCAGCTGGGTGTGTGTGTGTGTGTGTGTGTGATTGGTATTTAGTGCATAGAAGCCAGGGGTGTTGTTAAACCTTCTACAATGCACAGAAAATGCCCTCCACAACAAAGAATGATCCAATAGTGAAGCAGGAAAATAGGTCTGGAGCCAGGGAACATAAGTCTGATTCACACTTCAGCTATGACAGGAAATATCCTCTCCATAGGGTGTATGCCAAGTAAATAACTTTGTAACTTTACTTCCTCCTCTTCATTTACATAGGGCATAAACCAAGTAACCAGTGAGATCCTCTCGAGGGTATTTAAACTGCCCAAAATTCTGTAATGGGGCCCCTGAGCCCCTATGCTCAGGCCCACTGCCACACTGTGGAGTAAACTTTCATTTTCAGTAAATTTCTTCATTCTTTCCTTGCTTTGTTTGTGTGTTTTGTCCAATTCTTTGTTCAAGATGCCAAGAACCTGGCCACCCTTCACCGGGAACATATTTTGGTGAGCCTGCCAGGAGAAATTCCAGGAGAAGTTAGGCCCAAAGTTTGGGATTTATTTTTCTCCTTTTCCCTTTTCTTTCTGCTCCATACAGGGGAATCTGTCTCTGTCTCTCTCTTTTCCTTTCCAACTCAAGACCCTTGGTGGACAATGCCTAAACACAGAAGCAACTGCAGGTTTCTGGCCATGGTTGGTGAAACTAAGGGGTTCCCATATGGAGGTGCCTAACCGCCACCACCCTGTTCGCTTAAGGGACCAGGGTTGTTTTTTTTTCTTCCCCCTTTCTTTTTCAGTCTTTCAGCCACTATTTCCTAGTAGCTCTTTGGAAATTGAGGGCAATTGGCTGGGGTCATTCCCTGGTATTGCCTGAAGGCCAAGGAGTGAATGGGAATAATTGCCCTAACTGGAAGGGGAAAGGACTCTTTTTTAAAAAAATATTTTCTGCTTGTGGTCCCTGGTCCCTACATGTGATCCAGTGCAGAGCAAACTCACACGTTTCAGGTGACTTAAACCATTTTTTTATGCTAAATTCTTTCCTTCCCCTATTCAACTGGCTAAGGGCAAAAGAAGCCTACCCAGCCTCCAGTTCCTATCATTAAAGTTCATGGAATGGGAAACATGGGAAAGCGTGGCCTTAACAAATTATAAGGATGCTAAAAGTCGGAGATTACACCCAGGTACCGAGAGAAAGCTCATAGTAGGCTCTGGAGGGAAAGCATGCAAAGTGGCACCTGTGCCCACCTAAGGTCAGAGACTTGTAATACTCTAAGATTGGACCCCACAGGAGGACGGATGCTCCAGGGGATCCTACAGACCTCAACCTCCCTGAAGGGGATGCTCTTGGCAGAGGTTCTGAGGTCTAGTAATAAGCCCTCCTTTTAATTTTCTCTCACAGTTGCAATGCTGTTTGGACCCAACATTGTTTGGAATCTGGAGTTTACCGTTGAATGAGAAAGTGGAATGGCATTGCATGTATCCAGGCTTTTGTGCTGCTGTTCTAAGAAGGGAGCCTGGTTAATGTGTGACACTCTCCTTTGGTGCTGTTTGGAGCCCCAGCACTCTTTGGAGTCTGGGGAAATTCGGCCTTTAAAAATCAAATTGCCATGGAGACTGCCTTACGTGAAATTTTGGTTCACAGCCTTCATTGGATTATCTATTGGTGCAAACAAAGTAAAAACAACGAGCTTGTATTACTGTCTCATGGCTAAGGTTCCAAGCTATTGGATCTTTGTTTGTGTGTGTATCTACATGTCTTTGTATTGCTGTGAGAAATGGGAAAGTTCTTCTTCAAAGATTATAAAAAGTCATAATTTCTTCTTATAACACTGTTAACCACTATTAGTGTGTACATATGTGTGTGTGTATATATATACACATATATATATTTGATATATATACATATATATTTGATATATATATACACATATATATTTGATATATATACACATATATATTTGATATATATATGTGTGTATATATATACACATATATATATTTGATATATATATGTATATATATATATATATTCCAAATCAGCTGTCCTAGCTTGCTCCGGCATACCTGGACAGAACTAGGCAAGCCCCAGCCCATAGTGCATGCCATTCCTTATTTGGAGATTCTTCCTTAACTATCCCTAGATAACTTCCTTTTCTTTCTTTGTTCTGTTCCCCTTACCTAATTAAGAAAGTTTTAAGCTAATAGCCACAATCGGGTAAAGTGTAAAGTGTGAGGTCCTATTCCAGCCAGTGGAAACTGGACACAGCAGTAGGGTAAATGCATCAGATTATAAATAACTCTGTCTCCTTTGTTCGGTGTTCTCTTGTGGCTGGACAGCTACTGAGTAGCACCCTTTCTGCAGAAAGTAAAGCTCACCTTGCTGAGAGATCATTTGTTCCTGCATTAATTCTTTTTTTTTTGTGACACCGAAATCTTAATTCACAACAATTTGGCACCAAACGTGGGGCTCAAACCCATGACCCTGAGATTAAGAGTCTCATGCTCTACCGACTGAGCTAGCTGGGCTTTTGCAACACCAAAAACTTCATTCCCAACATTGCTATCTCATGGCTAAGGTTCCAAGCTATTGGATCTTTGTTTGTGTGTGGGTATATACATGTCTTTTGTACTGCTATCTCATGGCTAAGGTTCCAAGCTATTGGATCTTCATTTGTGTGTGTATACATGTCTATATGTGTTTATTTGTATGTACACTTATTGTTCCATGTTGTGTCTACCAAATTGGCTTATAAGTAAAAGAGGGCTTATAAATTAAGTAAATAAGCCTAAGCAATTTTCAAGTTCACATGACTTAAGTGCAACTTTACTAAGCAAGCTAGCTTTAAAATTATTGGAATAAAAGTAAAAATGCCTTCAGAACTGTCAGCATACATTTTGTCTGAATTTTATGTTTGTCTTTGCTAGATATTTTGAGATGTCCGTGTTTGGCGTGGAAGGTTATAAAACTATAAACCCAGCCAAAACAAAATAATCTTGGTTTGTGTGCTTTCTTTTGACAAATGTGAGTAATTTATAAAAGGAAAATATCTTGGGACCCCCAAAATTACTAGGCTGAAGGGAAGATTTAGAGTGGGAGCTGCTTGAGCCTGCCTCCCATTCTATTCAAAGTCTCACTAAGATAAATGCATATCTAACTGCCTCCTTTGGAAAGGCTAATCAGAAACTCAAAAGAATACAACCATTTATCTCACACCTACCTGTGACCTGGAAGCCCCAAGTCCCCTCTCCCGCTTTGAGTTTTCCTGCCTTTCCAGACAGAACCAATGTTCATTTTACATATGTTAATTAATGTCTCATGCCTCCCTTGTTAAAAGTGAAAGAATTGAGTACTGAATGGGATAAATGTTTTAGGTAAACCTTTTGCATAAATTAAAATCTTAAAGTTATTTTTCATGCTCATTTAATATCTGGGTCATTTCCAATTATGAAAGTGTTGTGATATGGGGAAATATGTTTCTAAAATTGTGGAATTATTCTTATCTATAAATGCCCATATCTAATAGTTCAGGATTTCTTGCTTTTTAGGGTTTCACTAAAATTTTAGCATAAGAATCCTAGTTAACACATAATTCTGTGTACAAAATGTGCCCAAAAGGGTTATTAGTGAGAAAAAGAATAATTTTGTCTAATTCAGAAGTTATCCAAAAGTTAGTTCAAATTACAGATTTGAAAAGGTTATTTATGAAACAATGTAGTAAGGAACCATTAAGTAGTAGGGGAGAAAAATGTGGAAAAAGTTTAGATAATAAAATATTCTTTAAAACCTGATAAAGAATTGGAGACATTTGGCTAATTAACATTTTTGTAGTTAAAGCTCTTAGTCTTGATTAAAATAAAATAAGAAGTATTGGAAGTATTGTAGAAAATGCATCGGCAGTTTGGCAGTTCTTTTTTTTTTTTTTTTAATGTAGTTAAGCATGAAGCCAGATTTAGTGTGGAGCCAAATTTCACATACACACTTGCATTGCTTCACACCATGTTTACTGTTTGTGTAGATAGTGCCGGCACTGGAGTACTTATTGGTCACGTGCCTAAAGTGAATTTCTTAATTGCACAGGATGTATGATGTGGGTTTTTTTTTTTTTTTTGGTGGGGGAGCTCTGTATAACACTATAGCTTCCACAGTAAATTAAGTAGAAAAGATTTAGGGTTGTTTTCCTGTTTATTAATTTTTGCATCTAGTTTTCATTTGTTTGCTGTTTATTCTCTGCTAGATTTTGTTTATGTATGCATATATATAAAACCATGATGTTTTTTAGCCTGGCATGGTGGCTCATGCCTGTAATCCCAGCACTTTGGGAGGCTGAGGTGGATGGATCATGAGGTCAGGAGTTCAAAACCAGCCTGGCCAAGATGATGAAACCCCGTCTCTACTAAAAATACAAAAATTAGCTGGGCATGGTGGCAGGAGCCTGTAATCCCAGCTACTTGGGAGGCTGAGGCAGAGAACAGCTTGAAGCCAGGAGGCAGAGGTTGCAGTGAGCCAAGATCGTGCCACTGCACTCCAGCCAGGGTGACAAAGCAAGACTCCATCTCAAGAAACAAAACAAAACAAAACAAAACAAACCATGATTTTTTTAGTTTTTAGTGGAAGGCTCTTATTTCATTCTGTGAATAGTTGTTTTTGTTTCCTATGCATTTCTAGCAAGTCATCCTTTGTTTCATCTATCTGGAATTCCTAAGCTACCTTTGTCAGGTCCGCAGGAATTAATGGAGCACACTAGCCTTTTAACCTTAAACTAACTTTTTAGATTTTAGGGTTCTTGATACGTTAAGTGTGTTGAGTATACTCTCACAAATAGAATTTAAGACATATTTCTCTCTCTTTGCCTAATTTCTCCAAAATTTATAAACTATTTGTGAATATTCTTAATTCATGGCAATGTGTTTTTTTGCATCCAGTCAAGCAGGGTCTCCAGGGCTACTCAGGGAGAGAGAGCCCAGAAACCTGGCATGCCAGCAAAAGGGTAAGAATTTCTTACCAGTCAGTCTCTGGTCTCTTTCTCTCTGTGCAAACTGGTTAAATGAAAGGTAAAAGCCACTGTTTATTTCCTCTACAAGGTTTTAAATTAATTGGTTTAATAATAATAAGAGCTTAAATAAAATATTTTGTCAGAAAAGTAAAAAGTGCAATGCCTTTTATTTAATTCATGTGACGTGAGTAATTCTTGGGAAATAAAGATGATTTTAATGATTATTAGTAGAATACAAATGTCTTCAAAATGTAAATATGTGGTCCAAATTATGTTCAAATATTAGGTTTGCTATATGCTTTAAGGTCATAAGCTGCTTCTTTGGCTTTTGAAAATTGTTTAACTCGCCTCCTTTACTGCTAGGTAAGGCCTGGGGACATGTGGAGTTGGCCACACCCCTAGCTATGCTGGAAATAATCAGACCTTATTAGCACCTAGCACATAATTAACATAACTTACTAGATTTTACATTAAAATTAAAATTGCTAAGAGCCAGCATTATAACATGCAATTAAGACTGCTAGAAACAGTTTTACATGCAAGGTGTGTAAGGACAGTAAAATGTGTGGGGTTTTTTTGTCAAAGGTTATAAAAGGTTTTTCCTTCTTTAAAATTTCTGAGTCATCATTTTGGCCAAATAAATAATTTAGTTTCAAAATTGTCTTTCTAATGCCTGGCTTTTTAGATGGATCAGAGGCCCCTGAAAACATCCAGAAAAGAGGTAAACAGGGTTATTTAACATGTTTAAGTACACAGGGTTGCCAGAATGATGTCCAGTCTTCTTTAAGTTACATTTTTGTAAATAATACTAATATATGTTCCAAAATTGTATGAGATTTCTAAAATTCTAACATCTAAGTGTATTCTATCAATCAATTATAATTATGGTTATTATGTTAAGTTATAGTAAACCACAGAAATAACCAAATTTCCTTTTATAAAGCTACTAACCCAAGTAGAAAAAAAAGTAATTAAATACCAAGAAAATACTTTGTCAGATTTTCATGTTAAACCAGCTGATACTGAAATTGTTTAGATATACAGTTTGAATAAACTTCACGGTCTAAGTCGAATTACCTATGATAATCCATCAGTTATCAGTGCTGTGATTTAGAAAAACAACTGGCACTCAAGAGGATATTAGTCTAATGTTAATTAAGCATGGCCTTCTGGAGAACCAGGATAATCACCTTGTCCTCCCTGAGTCCTTAAAGATTTTATTATTAAAAGTTTTGCGTTCCATGACTCATCATGGAAAAGATAAAATAATCCAAATTAAATACATTGGTGTGGTAACTTACAAATTACAAAAATAGTTTATAACCAATGTTTAGTCCCATATTCCTGGGAAAACAGTTAAAGCATCGGGTACACTTGGTAACCTGATGGGCCATTTAAACATCTTATAAAGGAATTTCATTCAATTGTTATTATCAATGCATATTTTCTGGTTGATAAAAGCTTTCCCATGCAAGAGGGCTGATGTTATAACAGCAGATCATTATGCTACAGTGTGTTTTCACTGGGTAAAGAAAGCTTTTTATGGTTTGAATCTTTTGGGAAGATCAGAGAAAGAACTGTTGTTGCCATCCACACTACAACAGAACTTCGGGACCTTGAACTTTGGGTTCATAATCTCACAACTGAGAAGGGTATCTCCATATTCTTGGAACTGTGTACCCATTGGAACCCTTGAGATTTCTCCCCAGAGGAGGATGGCATCCTTGATGTAAATAGCTTTTCCCAAGTTCACAGATTAAGACTTCTACTATCATGAAACTCTCATCTATGAGTATTTCCCTTGCTTATGCCTCTCTGAACAATAGAATTAGAAAAGAGGTCTGTTGTGTGACCTTATGGGGTGTACTTTTATTTGTGAAGGAGTTTGCAGCCAGGCTTATACAAGAATAAACTTATACTTTGATAGATAAAAGATGAAGGCCCAAAGTAGGTGAGAAACTTTAGTGGTACATATGTTGCCTCATAATCAGTCAGAAACAAAACATTGGTTCATTCCTCTTAACCCACATCATGGGTTAAAGAGAACATTGCCAGGAGGCCTTCATTCTTCTAGAAGGGCATCATTTGTTAGGTCCTTTTTCCATGGTTTAAAGTAAAAGAAGCAATGATTAAAAATGTATCCCTCATGATAGGCTCTATAGCAAATTCTACTGTAAAGGACACAAACTAAATTCTCTTGTGAAAGTTACGATAGAATTGGCTGAACAGAGATGTATCTGTGCAGCTGCTGGCACTCATGGCCTATGGAGAAAACATCTGGTATTATAGAAATTCAGTTGTAGTGGATTAACAACGAAACTGCTTCTTTAAGTCAACCTTTGATCTATTTGGTTTTAGGAGGTTTGGTTTATGGGTACCTTGGGTAAGAAGCATACTCTGAATTCTTGGTATTATCCTCCCAATAGTAATAATAATAGTCTCCCTGGTGTGCTGTATTCTCTCAAAGGTTTTAAATGCTTGCATGCAGCCATCTCTAGAATGTCATATGGTCTCTCTTCAACTGGAATGACAAAAGCTGAGAGAAATGTACAACCGTGAAGACACCACAACCCATGAATGACGGGCTGAGACTGGAAACCAAAAATGATAGTAACTGAGAGTGGTGCTAAGGCCCTAAGTTTTGGTCACACTCTTACCTAAGTGAGAACCTGACCAAAAAGGGGGAATATTTTAAACAAAATTCTGGGAGGCTATTGTTTTGGACTAAGCTCATGCACTAAGCCCCAACAGACCAAACCAAACAAAAATGGAGTCACTTGTGCTAAGACTTTAAGGAAACACAGATTCTAGAACAGACCAGGTTTTGTTTTTTCTCCTGCAAATCTCTATAGCAAACATTCTTGACAACAGAGGTATCCACCCCCTGAAGTTCCCATTAAATCTTTTAGCCAAATTCATTTCTTCTCTCCTAGAGACCACCAAGTTTTAGATGATCATGCAACAAAGCTTCCAGCCAGTTCCAGGTGAAGACACCACCCCTGACCATCAAGAAGCTACCCCGCCTCCACTAGACAGAGCAGGGAGAGAGTTCCGTCATCCTTAATAGGTAGAGACTATGCCGCAAGCCAGCATGAAGCAGTTACAGAAAAAAGACGATTGGTCCCTCTGCCTCCCATGAAGATTTATGGGGATCACATCTCTTACAGAGGAAATGAGGCAGGAAAATAGGGTCTGGAGGCAGGGAATATAAGGCAGATTCACGCTTCAGCTATGACAGGAAATATCCTCTCCATAGGGCAGATGCAGAGTAAATGACTATGTAACTTTACTTCACCCTCTTCATTTACACAGGGCATACACCAGCTAACCAGTGGAATCCTCTAGAGGGTATTTAAACTCCCAAAAATTCTGTAACAGGGCCCCGGTCCCACATTGTGGAGTGTACTTTCATTGTCAATAAAATTTCTTCATTCTTTCTTCACTTTGTTTGTGTGTTTTGTCCAATTCTTTGTTCAAGATGCCAAGGACCTGGACAGCCTCCACCGGTAACAATAGTGCTGAGGTTGACAAACCCTGATTTCTGTTGCTTAATATTTTTCTTTTTTGAGACAGGGTCTCACTGTGTTGCCCAGGCTGGAGTGTAGTGGCATAATCATGGCTCACTGCAGCCTCAGTCTCCTGGGCTCAGGTGATGCTCTCGCTTCAGCCTCCCAAGTAGCTGGGACTACAGACACATGCCACCACACCCAGCTAATTTTTGTATCTTTTGTAGAAACGGTCTCTCCATGTTGCCCAGGCTGGTCTCGAACTCCTGGCTCAAGCAATTTGCCTACGTTGGCCTCCCAAAGTACTGATATTATAGGCCTGAGCCACCACACCCACCCCATGTTGCTTGATCAACCTTGCACTTTGGAAATAAAACCAACTTGGTTGTAATGTAATATTCTTTTTATGTATGTATTACTACATCTAATTTTCTTTTTTTTGTTTGTTTTGAGACGAAGTCTTGCTCTTGTCACCCAGGCTGGAGTGCAATGGCATACTATATCTAATTTTCTAATATTTTGTTTAGGATTTGTATCTATGTTCATGAAAGAAATTATCCTATATTTTTCCTCTCATGTAATGTCCTTGTCAGGTTTTGGTATTAATGTTGATTTGGTCCCATAAAATGAATTGGAAAGTGTTCCTTCTTTTTCAATTCTCTGAAAGTGTTTGTGTAAGATAGATGTGTTCTCTGACTTCCTTTGTGATCAGACCTGCCTCTGCTCACCTCTTCAACCCCATAAGCCATTGATGGGCTTCATCTGAGCCTGAGACATTTACTGAACCCAGTTATAGCACTAAGCAAAATTACTGTTCCTTAAAGGCCAGAACTCACCTGACCTTACTGGACCCCTGCAAACCTGGGGACAGGTAGAAAGTCTCGCTTTGCCCTCAAGTCTAAGTTTTATGATCTACCTCAGACTTTAATCATTTTGGCAGTTATTAGGCACTGACCCAAATGCTAATAAAGTAGGCTACCAATTCCCATTCAGCCATTGTTCCTGGTCTATAGCTGCCTTGGGCAGGAAACCTATGACAAGAATAGGGCAGGATCAAGACACTCTTGGGACCCCTGCCATAACACTATCATAGCAGCTCTGAAATCTTACCTTTTACCACTGTTATCTACTGTGTCTTCTATTGCTAACTAAACTTTTAACTCCTTTGCAGGAGTGGAAAACCTTTTCCATACCTTGACTGTCAAGACAGCTGGGTGGGTACAGGAGGGGAGAACATAGGTTTTTGCATTGGACAGACCTGGTTTAAATTTTAGTTGTGCCACTATTAGTAGGGTTACCTGAAACAAGATATTTAGCTTTTCTAGTGGAGCCTCTGTTTACTCATCTGTGAAGTGGAACTAATAATGTCCACTTCAGTGGTGTGTTTAAGAAAAAAGGGATTTGGCTGGGTGCAGTGGCTCAAGCCTGTAATCCCTGCACTTTGGGAGGCCAGGGTGGGTCAATCACCTGAGGTCAGGAGTTCGAGACAAACCTGGTCAACATGGTGAAACCCCATCTCTACTAAAATTACTAAAATTACAAAAATTAGCCAGGTGTGGTGGCGGGCAGCTTGTAATCCCAGCTACTCGGGAGGCTGAGGCAAGAGAATTGCTTGAACCTGGGAGGTGGATGTTGCAGTGAGCCGAGATCCTGCCACTGTACTCCAGCCTGGGGAACAAGAGCGAAACTCGGTCTCAAAAAAAAGAAAAAAGGGATTCATTAAGGGGTTTAGATGGTGCACAGCCTCAGAGGGCTGAAGACACAGACACTAGGCTGAGCTTCTAGAAACAGCTCTCAACACCAGCAGAGAGCTGGCCCACCCAGGGAACTGCTGCTTCTATCCTAATCAGCAAGACTGCCCTTGACAACGAGGAAGCAGTGCTGGACCCATGCCCACAAAATGTCTTCATCCTTCCGGTTTCTTCACTAGACTCAAAATCCTATTCATGTGCAACTGACTGGAGAAACCAAAATTTCATTTGTGATGCTAGCAGCAAGCAAGTCTGGAAAACATGGTTTTTTGCTTTCCAGCCTTTGCATGCTGGGAAGGAGTTGGAAATGGGGATGAGCAAGCCTATTCACTGTACCCACTACAGTTGGCTATCCTATTTTCATACTTGTTTCCTTCCATGGCTGTTTCGGGCATCTGTGTTCTCTGGCCCAGCTAATGAATCATTATTCTTGGTCAGTTATGACAACCCTCTTCCTCTTGCAGCTAGGTGTAGTCAGGTGACTCAGTTCTGACCAATGAGAGTAAGGAGAAGTCTGCTGTGGGGCTGTGGGTAGAGGCTTCTGTGAAGGCTTTTGCTTTTCAATAAAAGGGACAGCTGTAGATTGATGCCAGTTCTTCCCCTTTCGTTCTGCCTCGAATGTCTGGAGCTGTAGCAGCCATCGTGTCAGCGTGAGGATGAAAGGCCAAAGAAAAGGCTGGCAAGAACAGAAGTACGGAAGATCATAAGCTCTTGTTGGCAACGTTGAGCTGCTGAGCTAACTGGAATAAATGCCTCCCTCTAGACTTCTTGAGAAAAATACATTCATATTGATTTAAACGACTGCTAGTTGAGTTATCTGTTGTAGCTGAAAGTATTCCTGACTGATAGATTCTTCTTCCTCTTAGCAAGGATGCGACTGGACTGCTGATGAAGTGGTCAATCTACAAGATTAGATAATTCACAAATAGACTTTTAAGTCTTCCATATCCCCTCTTGAAGCTGAAATTTCCATAAGAACAAACAACGCTGCCTTTCTCTGGGGCAGAGGGGAGCTTTCTAGGAGTCTAAGAAGAGGGGCTGGTGGTGTGAGCAGGAGATACCTGTGACCCTCCATCTTCAGAGCCCAATCAGGGGGTCAGTGGAGAATGGGGGATCTCTGAGAGCACGGCTGAGAATTAGAGGAAACGTTCGAACAGTCAGCGGCATGGTGACCAGCCCTGAGGTCATGACGGCCATGCCTGACCAGAGAGGAGGTGCTGCTGGGCAAGTGGATGAGAGACAGAAAAAGTAGAGAACAGAGTTGGTCCCTGGGACCAGGAGAACAGTGTTGGGGAAATGACACCCAAATGAGGCGACTCAGGGAGAAACGAGTTTTCCAAGTGATGGCCTCAAGCACTGCTGTGTTCGATGCCCATCTTCTGGTCTGCAAAGTGTGGGAGACAGAGGATTGAGGTTGGCTGTAAGAACCAGGGATCAAATGGACAATGTGTAATTTAAAAATGTTTACCCTCTCTGCTTGCTGTGAGCCTCCACCCATTTCTCGCTGATCCACACAGCCAGTGAGCGCTGGGTTCCCACTCTGCATGAAGGGCCGCACCAGGTACTGGTGATGGTGCAGGGAGAACATTCCCGTCTCTGAGGAACCCAGGCTAGTCATGGAGAAATAGGAAGGTAAACTGACACTTTTGGGGAGTGCTCAAAAAAGGGGTGCTCATCTGATTTGGGAACACCTCCTCAGGAAAGGGATGGCTTGGCAGCAGTGGGAAGGATGAGTGGGCAAGGGACATGGCAGTGGAAGGAAGACCTTTTGTACCGGCTCGGGGGCAGGAGAACCTGAGGTTCCCACTTGATCACAGCTGGAGTGCGGGGTTCAGGGGAAGAGATGGAGAATCTGGAAAGGCACTGCAGCCTGATTAAGTGGGAAAGAGGCTGTGGAGTCAGACCTCTGACTCATCTCCGTGGCCTTGGGCATGTCACTTAACCCCTCGGAGCCTGTTTCTTCTTCTATGATATAGGCACAATGGTTCTTTCCTCTTGGAAAAAGTTTAATTGGGATAACAAATAACCAGGAATTGTTAATTAGGAAAATGATTATAAAATAACTATCATATTTTCTGACACATGATAGGGATTCAAGAACAATTTAATCCATTCCAAAGAGGCATCTTCCCCCTAAATTTGAATATTTCTGATACCGAGGTTCATTGTTAAGGCCTAATTGGCAGCATCCTTTCTTTCTTGGTGGCACACGAACTAATGGTGTCATGCAATTGATGCCATCTTACTTTCAATAAAATATGGCAGTTCTTTGGAGTATCTACAATAAAGATCAGAAAACTTTTCTGTAGAAGTTCAGATAGTAAATATTTTAGGCTTTGTGGGCCGTATGGTCTCTGTTGTAATGACTCAAATTTGCTCTCGTAATGTTAAGGAAGCCATAGACAATACGGAAATCTTAAATGAGTGTGGCTGTGTTCAATAAAGCTATTTTTGGACACTGGCTTTTGAATTTCACATAATTTTTTTTTTTTTTTGAGATGAAGACTCACACTGTCGCCTGGGCTGATGTGCGGTGGGGCAATCTCGGCTCGCTGCAGCCTCCATCTCCTGGGTTCAAGTGATTCTTCTGCCTCAGCCTCCCGAGTGGCTGGGACTACAGGCGCATGCCACCACACCCGGCTAATTTTTGTATTTTTAGTAGAGACGAAGTTTCACTATGTTGGCCAGGTTGGTCTCGAACTCCTGACCTCGTGATCTGCCCACCTCGGCCTCCCAAAGTGCTGGGATTACAGGTGTGAGCCACCGTGCCTGGCCGAATTTCACATAATTTTTATATGTCATAAAATATTATTATTTTTATTTTTTTTTGTCGATGATTCAAAAATATAAAAACTATTCTTAGTTCACAGGCTATACAAAAACAGCCTGGATTTGGCCCACTTTGCCTGGACCATAATAATGTCTATTGGGAGATAGCCAAGAATTGCTTTTCATCGATGTGTGTGCTTTATGCTTCTATGACTACCTGGACAGTTTCCAGAACACTTTCAAGCCTTACTAGGAATGATTTGTAATGGCGTTTGGGGGTATCAGAGGCAATTTGAATCTAGAAACTCAGCTTGGGTAGACTGGAATCAGGGACTTTTCCTGGAGGAGCTGATTCATGAACTGAGTTTTGCAGGATGAATTCCATGTGTGTGGTGCAGCGAAGAAACACAAGCAAAAATGTGGAGCAACTCTGTCCACATGTGGAGTCAGGCATGGCTAGAGAATAGGTGCTAAGGACAAGGGGCCGATGCAGAGTGATGGGCTCAGAGCATGCTAGGCTTTGGAAGCCAGGCAAAGACGTTGATTCCAAGGCAGGAGCTCTTCACTTGAGGACCATAGATTGGGCTTTAGACAGTCTACACGTCTCTTGTAATTTATGCAAAATCTGTGGAATGCCCATTTTTCTAGGAATAAAGTCTATGCCTTTTATCAAATTCTCAAAGGGGCAATGTAATCGCCACTAAGAAAATAAGATGACGGCACTAAAATGAGTGAGGAGTCCTTCGCGATAGACATCATCAATCTAGATGGCTGGCTGCCTTGGTCAGTTTCCCGCATCTCTAGAAAGGCCCTGATATGCAGGGATGGGCCCCCATTGTCATTTCTTTGCTACATGACTCCGCTGCCTGGCCACAGTTTATTGGTCCAGGGGTGGGCACCTCATTCAAGTGATTGTCCCCAGAATTTTTAAGACCTAGAACAAAAGGTGGTAGCTGGTATTGGAGGTGACAGCTAGATGAAGATAAGGAATATGCAGCTTGGGGGTGATAAGTGGCTAACGTTGCCCATCCCATAGCAGAAACTGGTATGAATTAGGAGAGAGTGAAACCAATATACCAGGAAAAGTAAAAACACAAAACTTCAGGTGAGAATTCTGATGGTATTGAGTCAAGGTACCCTGGCTTTCATCCCTGCCCTTTTCATGGTGACGTGAGGTAGTCCTATGTCCCAATATTAAATCGGTTCTTGCCTAACTTTAATCAGATTTGGTTTCTGGCAAATTAAAGAATCCTAAGCAAAGCAGGTGGCGCGATCAGGTAGCTGCCATGAGGGGAATGAACTGGAGTGAGGAGGCCAGGGACCAGAGGGAAATTATTGCAGTGGTCTTGGGGGGAGATGAGAGGCCTGGAACAGAGATGGCTGTCTTGGTATGGACAGCCAATGAATGGATAGAAAACATATTTCCAGAGCAAAATCAGCAGACATGGTTATTGATTAGATATGGAGCCTGAAAGACAGGAAGGAGCAAGGGTGGGTGCTGGAACCACAAGAGGGTGATCAGGTTATGCCATATGAGGCTGGAAATCCAGGATAATGGGTTTGAGGTTTAGGAGGAGGCTCTAGGCTGGATATGAAAATTTATCAGCTGAGAAGTAGTAACTGAAGTCACGGCAGTGAATGAGGTTGTCTAGGGCAATGTAGCAAGGGCCATCACATGCTCTGCCCAGTCCAGCACAGTCAGTGGACACCTGGTCACCAAAGGAGGGGGTCACAGAACTCTACCCAGAGCCCTGTGAGGGTTGGGGGGCAGGCTGTATGGCTGTATATTTATTTTGGTGGTTGAGGGAGCAGTGACCTCATTTGCAGGCATTGGAGAAGAGGAAGCCAGGATTCACTTGGCTATGTATTCCTTCTTTATACCTTTTCCTTTTTTTCTTTTTTCTTTTTTTTTTTTTTTTTGTTGAGACAGAGTTTCACTCTTTGCTAGGCTGAAGTGAAGCAGTATGATTTTGGCTCACTGCAACCCCCGCCCTCCTGCCCCTCCCCGCCCCCGGTTCAAGCGATTCTTTTGCCTCAGCCTCCTGAGTAGCTGGGATTATAGGCGCCCGCCACCACGCCCAGCTAATTTTTGTACTTTTAGTAGAGATAGGGTTTCTCCATGTTGGCCAGGCTGGTCTTGAACTCCTGACCTCAGGTGATCCACCCGCCTTGGCCTCCCAAAGTGCTGGGATTACAGGCTTGAGCCACCACGCCCGGCCGGTATACCTTTTCTTTTTTAAGGGCAAGTAGCATGTGACTAAGGTGGTGTTAATGATCTGTGCTTGGTAGGAAGAGAAAGGGGGCTGGTCGGGGACATGGGATTAGTAAGGGCAGAAAAAGAGAGCCAAAGGAGAGATTGGGAGTGACAGAAAATCCCCATCTAGCCCAATGGCGATAGGGTGGGGGAGAAGCAGAGCCCAATGTGTGCAGGGCCATGCTGTGAGGCGGAAAGAACGGGGACACAGTGGATGACAGATCTTGTTTCCATTCGGGTTAATTCAGCCCTCTGAGTCTCAGTTTCCCCATCTGTGAAGCAGGAATAACAGCAGTTGTGGGGATTACAAATAACCAGTCAAATTCAGGTATTCCTTGATATTTGAACCTCTTTATCTGAATACTCATGATGATGACTTGCAAAGTTATTACCTATGATTCACTGCCCTGATTGAATACCTGCCTGATTGGTCGACTTGTGTGCCAGTGACAACATGTATGTTGTGGGTGAGCTCCTGTGAGCGTTATGTAGTGTGCACCGCAGTCCGGTTTCAGCTCTTTCTCCCTTTATTGCATTGTCCAAATGTGTTGGGCATCATT
This sequence comes from Homo sapiens, assembly GCF_000001405.40. NCBI lineage: Eukaryota > Metazoa > Chordata > Mammalia > Primates > Hominidae > Homo > Homo sapiens. The sequence continues at coordinate 54,971,250 of NC_000001.11, forward strand.
TGCTGGCATCTTCCTCACATTATAAGTGCAAATATCTTTTAGGAAAATGCAAAACCAGGGAAGAAAGTGAGTGAGCTTAGGTGGCCTAGAAACACTCTTCATTAACAGAAAAAGCAGAAGTGATGAAGAGTGCTGAGGGCAGGGGCACGTGCACAGAATGAGGCTGGTGATGCACGTGCCCATCACCCACGCCTGCGTCAGGCAGGCAAGCTATGATGACAAGAGAGTGTGGCCTTGACACAAGCAGATTAGTTGTATGCAAAAACGCAATGACCAGAGCATGGTCCCAGAGCTGTACAACTGTAAGCAAAGGAAAAGCAAACAGGTATGCACTTGGATTTTTTTTTAACCCAATGATTCATTTATGGCTTCAGATAATGAGTCAGAGGCATTTACTTCCTGAATCTCAAATGTCAAAAAGAAAGGGTATCCCCAGTTCCTGGGATGTGGACACGGACCAACCTCAGGCATCTCACCTACCACTTATAGCCACCACCTCCTCCTCTTGCCCTTGTACCTCACGGAGGAAACTATTCTATTGATTAGTGTGATTTTCAAATTTGTTTATTTATGTATTTTGTTATGCTAACTGGCACTTGTAGTCAGTACATGTTTAATATACCATTCAGTGTAATTTACATTACAGTAAATGTTCATTGAAAGAAAATATAACATGCATCTACTACTGTACAGTATCATTATGTATCAATAACATCAAATGAGGTCAACACTTTGTATTATATAGAGATTATAAGGCTTCATATTGTGTAGAAACCCTTAGTTGTTTGTTAAATAGATGTTTAAGGATGTTTTACTGCTATTTGGACAAATTGGCTGGGCTTTTTAGGTGGGCTGTGAATACAATATTAATTTTTATATTTAAAATAATGGAATATAAGCTCCTGCTGGCCAAGTTTTCTCCAGCTCTGGGAAGCCACAGTGGTTAAGGGACCTCCAAATGTTCCAAAGAACAATCTGGAAGCTTCTACAGTGATTGAGAGGAGACAAACACATCCTGGAACTGTTAAATGACCTAAAGAATCTGGTGCTAGAGTCCCAAAATGTCAGAGGTAGGGGTAGGGGGACCTTGGAGAGCAGGCAGGCCAACCCTCCCCATTGGACAGAAGGGAAAACTGTGGCCCACCTGGGAAGGGACTGGCCCAGGGCTGCGTGATGAATTAGGTGAAGCCTAATTCATTAGGTGGTCATTAGGTGAAGCCAGATTTCCTGCCCCCAATGCCAGTGTGTTCCCACTCATCTGGTCCATTTCAATTACTGATGGGGAAACCGAGGCCACAGACAGCAATGACTTACTTGGCCAGGGTCACTCTGCAGGCTAATGGCAGAGTCAGGAGTAAATCGGCATTCAGGCCTGTCACCATACTTGGGCACCATCAAGCCCAACCTGTCATTCAGCTGTTGAGAAGCCAGGCCCGGAAAGGGGAGCAAGAGATTGCATTTCTACCAGGGTATCGTTTTGCTGCCCCTGGTGTTCTGGGTTGGGTGGGTGGAGGGTCAGATAAAGGTGCAATTCTCTGAGCCTGGAGAAGGCTTAGAGGGAAAGGATGATTTGGTCTGAATGGGCTGAGTAGGAGGTTCTTGAGGGACATCAGCCCTTGGGTGAATGGGGCTCTATGGGGAGGGGGATTGGTGCATGGGGCAGGGGTTAAGGCAGGAAGTGGGGTTCTTTAGAAATCCTGGGGTAGCAGGCAGGTGATTCCAGAAGAGCCTCCAGATGCTGACTCAACAAAGTCCAGGATTTCTATTCAATTTGAATGGAAACTTGTGGATTAGTGAGTTCAATTCAAAATAAGAGGACGGAGAAGAGGAAGAAAGAGAACTAAGCCCCAGCATAGAGTCTCAGAACTTGAAAGGACATCCGACTTTTTACAGATCGGGAAACTGAGACTGGGAGGGTGCGAGGACTTGGCCAAGGCCACAAGTCACAGTCAGGACCAGAACCAGCCCCTCCTGTCCAGCTGTCTTCCCACCCATCCAATTTCGGCACATTGAGATTTTGCAACACTGACAGCTGGGCTTGCTGTGATTTTTAGAATCTGTCAACAGAGGGAGCAGCTGGCTCTTTCCCGGAATCTGAGCCTTTTCATGGGTCTGCCTGAATCCCTGAGGTCACTCTTGGAGTCCAGGCTGTCACCAGCCCTCTCCATCCACAGACCCTCCCAGCTCTTAGCTCTTTGTCTTGGTTCCCAGACAAGATTTCCTCCTCCCGCTGGCATGCAGCTTCCCCAAGTTCCAAGTTCCAGGGCTGCCCTCCCAGAACAGCAGCCGCAGAATAGCCCTGGCTGACACACTTGGGCAAAAAATGTATTCCAAGGAAGGCAAAGCCTTGAGGTTTCTAATCCATTTCTTACCCACAGACTGTCATTTCCTTTTTTAGAGCATAAACTCAGAGGACGCAGCTACTTCTCTCCATGAATAGGCTGTCTCCCAGGCACAGAATTCCAGGAACCAGCAGGGCCTTTCAAGGTTGGTTTCAAGGGAAGAGTGTGTCCCTTGCAGGGTGGCTGGAGCCAGCTCCAAGAGCCTGAAAAATCATCTTGGCACCAAGTCTGATGCAACTCTGGACCCAACAGGAATCTTGGAGGATTTGCCACAACCTTAGTCATTCACCTTCAAATCATCCACACTGATTCAGCCTCTCCTTCACTGAACAAGTATTTATTGAGCACCTACTATGTGTAACCTTCTAGGCAATATAACTTTTTGGATACAGCAGATTAAACAAAGATCACTGCAATCACTAAATGAATATCTTGAGAGGTGGATTGTAAAAGAGACTTCTGTACTATTTTATGTGTACATAGAATCAAGTGGGTATAGAACTTTGGTGTTGGATGGACCTGAGTTTAAACACACTCTGTTCTGTGATCTTGGTTATTTGAATTTCTCTGAGCCTCAGTTTCCTCAATCCTTAGGTGGAAATAAAAATTCCTACCTTATCCAGAATCAGTTAAATATAGAGTTAGCCATATGACCAGCAAGTTCATGCCTAAATTACATAACTGAGGGAAATAAAAACATATTTTTTATCTTTCACACAAAAACTAGTATCTGAATGTTCACAGCTGCAGTATCCATAATAGCCAAAAAGTAGAAACAACTAAAATGTCTGTCAACCAAACAGTAAGTAAACAAAATGTTTTATATCATACAATGGAATATTACTCAGCAATAAAAAGGAATGAACTGATACATGCTTCAACATGGAGGAACCTTGAAAACATTATGCCACATGAAAGAAGCCAGATCTCATATTGTATGTTTCCATTTATGTGAAACGTTTAGAATAGGCAAATCCATAGAGACAGAAAGTAGATGAGTCGTTGCCTCAGGCTGGGGGAAATGAGGAATTAGGGTGTGATAGTTAAGAGGTGTGAGATTTCTTTTCAGGGTGATGGAAATGTTTTAAAATTGATGATGATGGATGCACAACTCTGTGAATATACTGAAAGCTACCGAATTGTACACTTTAAATGAGTGAGTTTTACAGTATATAAATTATATATCATAAAGTTGTAAAAAGAAAAAAATCTTACCACGTAGGGCTCTTTCAGGATTAAATGAGCTAAGAATACAATGCACCTAGCCTGGTGTCTGGTATTGGCACTTGGTACACATTCAATAGATGCTTTTTTTTTTTTTTTTTTTTTGAGACAGAGTTGTGCTCTTGTTGCCCAGGCTGGAATGCAATGGCACGATCTCAGCTCACCGCAACCTCCGCCACCTGGGTTCAAGCGATTCTCCTGCCTCAGCCTCCCGAGCAGCTGAGATTACAGGCATGTGCCACCACGCTCGGCTACTTTGGTATTTTTAGTAGAGACAGAGTTTCTCCATGTTGGTCAGGCTGGTCTCTAACTCCCAACCTCAGGTGATCCGCCCGCCTCGGCCTCCCAAAGTGCTTGGATTACAGGCGTGAGCCACTGCACCAGGCCCAATAGATGCTTTTATTCTGCTAATAATCCTTTACAGTCTGGCTTATACAAAAGGTTAAAATTATGTCCGTTGTCAACATAAGGATGATAGAAACTTTGGTAATCAGTGTTTTGCCTTGAACAGATGTTCTTTCCTTACTCCCAGTCCCTGCCCTTTCTCTGCCTGTTGACATCCTAGATGTATCACAACCCGGCTCAGAAGTCATCTCTTTGAAGCCTCCTTTTTGGTCTAACTAAAAACCCTGGGGCATTTTTAGTGACCCCCAAAAGGGGCATTCAGAGACACACTCTTGTCACCATCTGGCTTTCTTCCAAATTCTTTGTGAACACACCATCTTTCCATGTGTCCTGCTTTCTGCATCCAGCGCCATGGCACCTGGCACAGCAGGGATGATCCTCTAATGAGTGTTCACAACACACATGCTCTGTCTTCCTTGCCACAGCACCTGCAGAAGGCAGAATTCTGAGATGGCTCTCATAGCCTTTGCCCTCCGATGTTAATGTTTTGATTATGTGACATGGCAAGAGGAATTCTGTAGATGAAATTAAGATTACTAATCAGCAGACCTTAAGGTAGGAGATGGGTGGGTCTAACCTAATCATGGGAGCCCTTTAAAAGCAGAGAGTTTTCTTTGGCTAGTGGTAGAAAAGGCAGTCAGACAGGTTTAAGGCACGAGGCAGACTTGGCTTGAGGGAGGTTTTCCCTTGCTGGGTTGGAGGGGGCTAGGGGGCAGCCACTAGGAGCAGAGATTGGCCCCCTGGCTGACAGCAGGAAAGAAAATGAGGACCTCAGTCCTATGGCAAGGACCTGGATTCTGCCAACAACCTGGATTACCTTGGAAGCAGATTCTTCCCCTAAGCCTCCAGACAAGAGGCCAGCCCAGCCAACACCTTGCCTTTGACTTTGACAGACCCTACGCAGAGAACCCAGTTGACTCCAGCTAGATTTCTAACTTACAGAAATATGAGATAATAAATATATGTTATTTTAAACTGCTAAGTTTATAATAATTTGTTGTGTAGCAATAGAAAACTAATGAGGCACCCATCTCTGGAGAGAAGTTTTACCCCTATTTTTTAAGTGATGAGGTCCAGGGAGGTATGGTTGCTTGGCCAAGATTGCACAGCACATGAGTGACAGGCTGAGCTACAGCCTAGGGCAGGGGCCAGCAAACATTTTTTGTAAAGGTTTAGATAGCAAATATTTAGGCTTTGTGAGCTATACAGTTTCTGTCATAACTATTTCCTTCTAACATCGTAGCACAAAAGTAGTATGTAAAGAATGAGCACAACTGTGTTCCAATAAAACTTTTTAGAGGCTACATTTTGAATTTCATAAAATTCTGTATGTAATGAAATATTCTTATTTATTTATTTATTTTTGCGACAAAGTCTCGCTCTGTTGCCCAGGCTGGAGGGCAGTGGCATGATCTTGGCCACTGCAACCTCTGCCTCCCAGGTTCAAGTGATTCTCCTGCCTCAGCCCCCGAGTAGCTGGGATTACAGTTGCCCACCACCACACTTGGCTAATTTTTGTATTTTTAGTAGAGATGGGGTTTCACCATGTTGGCCAGGATGGTCATGAACTCCTGACCTTAAGTGATCCATCCTCCTCAGTCTCCCAGAGTGCTGGGATTATAGTCATGAGCCATCACGCCCGGCCATGAAATACTCTTTATTTTCTTCAACCATTAAAAAGATGTGGAAACTATTATTCTTAGTTGGCAGGCTGTATAAAAACGGGCAGTGAGCCAGGTCTGGTCTATGAGCCACAGTTTGCCAGCACTCCCCAGGTGCCCGACTCCTAGCCCAGGGTGTCAGTGATTATCAATAGGGCTAAGGGGTGGTACAAAGCGTGCTGGACACCAAGGCTCTGTGTCTAGGTCCCTGTTGTACTTCAGATTTGCTACGTGACTTCAGGCAACTCACTTTCCTTTTCTGGGCCTATAAATCAAAGCAGGGTAATGGCATTCAAATCTTTTCCCTACGCACCCCCCTACCCCCAGGGACTTTTCCAAAGCAAAGCTAATACAGAACTCTAGCTTCAAAAGCTGACCTAAAGGGCACCTGCTCTGACTGGCCGGGGAATGTGGTTGGGGTCCCTGTCCACTTCCTCTCGTTCCACTCCCAGGAGCTCCAGAGTCTCTGTAGAACACAGTGTGCAAACCTTTGAACCAGCCAGTCTCTAAAACCTAACTAAGGCAGTCTAAACCAGGGATTCTCAACCCGGTGCTTGACATCTGGGACTGGATAATTCTTTGTTGGGGGTGCTGTCCTGTCCTGTGCATTGTAGGTTGCTACTAGAAGCTGTTTGAGATGGGGTCTTTGTCACTCAGGCTGGAGTGCAGTGGTGTGATCTCGGCTCACTGCAACCTCTGCCTCCCAGGTTCAGGGAATTCTCCTGCCTCAGCCTCCCAAGTAGCTGGTATTACAGGTGCCCGCCACGAAGCCTGGCTAATTTTTGTATTTTTAGTGAAGGCAGGGTTTCACCATGTTGGCCAGGCTGGTCTCAAATTCCTGACCTCAGGTGATCTGCCCTCAGGTGATCTCGGCTTCCCGGAGTGCTGGGATTACAGGCTTGAGCCACTGTGCCTGGCCTGATTTCTTTTAACTTACTGACATTTTCTGATTTTTCTGCAATGTCCAGCAATTTCTTTTCACTGAAAAAAAAAAAAAAAAAAAGAAGAAGAAGGCAGGCATGCAGTTTTGTTTTTGTCAGTGTGCTCAGGCCTAGGATGGATGGACCTGTAAATCCCTTTGGAAGCCTGGAAGAGGGACCAGATTATACTACTTTGGGACACTGAGAAGTCACCTAGAAAAGGTGACCTGTAACCTGAGTTTTAAGGGAAGTGCATGAGCTCACCAGGTGAGGAAAGGGCCTTTGTGACCAAGGTGTGGCATTGTCCCTGGGACACAGTGAACAGTGAGTTCAGGCATGATATGGTAGGGAGCACAGGAAGTGAAGCTGGGAGGTGGCCAGGGATTTGGTTACAAGACTGTGGATGCTTGGAGCTGGGGTTGTTATTCTGAGGGCAGTGGGGGAGCCATTGAAAGGTTTGGCAGGTGAGAGACTGATGGGGATGCTGGTCTGGAAGCTCAAGCTGGTGTCTCATGAAGGGCAGTCAGCTTGGGGGCAGAGAGGCCAGTGAGAGGCAGGAGCAGGAACACAGGCTGTAACAAAGAGGGGACAATGTGGCAAAAACTGGAGAAGTGCATACGGGTCTGGAAGATTCAGACTGACATGGATTTCAGCACCTCCTCTCCCCAATCCCCACTTATTAGCTGTGAGCCCTGGGCAATGCACTTCTCTCTGAGCCTCCATGACTTAGCTGAGGTGACAACGAAATGGGAAGAGTATGTGGCTGGTGACATGTGATAAGTGGGTACAAATGGTAGCTCCCTTCCCTACCCGCTTGAGGCAGAAGCTGATGGCCAGTTTTCTTCTGAGTCGCCCAGCCGAGCCAGGGAAATTCTGAGTGTGCTTGTTTAGAGAGGGTCACCACCATGCCTGGGCAGCATCGCAGATCTGACGCTGGGACCAGTTTCTGAAAGGTGGGGAAGAAGACAGAGCCAGAAAACCTGGGTTAGATTCCTGGATTTCAATTAGCACCCAGGCCCAGCCCCTTCTGGTCCCAGCTGTACTGCATCCGGCTGGGTCCTGAGCCAAGTGACACCTGGTCCCTGCACTCAGGAGGTCCCCATAAACTAGGGGAGATTCACAAATAGAGCCATTGTGTCATGTGAGGACATACCCTGGCCAGCTCCTCAGGCTAAGGTCTTACTAAACCCCAATAGCTATTCTAGGAAGGAGGTGCCATTGTCTCTATTTTACAGATAAAGATGTGGCCAGTCTTCTGGTCTGAAAGTGGCTAAGGCAGGAAGGAACCGTGACTTGTCCAGTTCCAGGGCCTGAGCTTCCAGCCTGGCCCAGGGATTCAGGTTGAAGCAGGGCCCGAGGGGTGTGCTAGCAACATCAGCCTGTCCAGGCCTGGACCCCAACATCAGCAACCTGTGACTCACTTCTGGGACTACACAGGCAGGGCTGGGAGGGTCCATTTTGACCAGTGAGGGGCCCACAACACACACAGATGCCTGCCCTGTGGAAATGAGTGGAGCCAAAAGCTCTGTGGCCTCCAGCTTCCCATTCATATCTCCCCTGTGCCTACAAGGGTGCAAAGAGGGCTGCCAGCGGCCTTGGTCCCACCTACAGACTGAAAGTCAAAGGAAGTCTGCCTGGTCCTTGTCTCGGCTCTGTAGCCTTGCACACACAGGCCTGTGCCCTTCTCTGAGCCTTAGTTTCCTGGTGGGATATTTCTTCAGAGACAGAGTTTGGGGGCCCAGGGCCCTGCCGCTGACCTGCTCTGTGACTTGGAGCCAGTGGCTTCCTCTCTCTGGGCTTCAGATCCCTGCCGGCCAGGCTGCTCCACCTTCTATCCTTGGGCTGGGAAGAGAGTTAGTCACCCCCAGCTCACTGGGGAATCTAGGCCATGCCAGTGGCAAGCTGGCCCCAGTCCCCCGGCTTGCTGGAGTAGCAGGAAAGGGCAAGAACAAAACCCAGACCCCAGCTGGTTCTGGAAATGGCTTCCCTTGGCCCACATGAACTTGTCAGGATCTCACCAGCCTGTGACTTCACCTACATGCTGCTCCTTCTGCCTGGATGCTGTTGTCCACTCCTACTCTCCTAAGGCACCTCAGATGTCCTCTCACGGAAAGATTCTTACACACACGCACACACACACGCACACACGCGCGCGCACGTAACCCTTCCTCCAGGCTCCCAAATCACCTGTCCACAAAAACTGCCTTCAGTAGCCACTTAACCTGCATGCTTAAGGCATTCAATCCTCACAGAACTGTGAGTTAGGGATTATCAGTTCTCCTTGAGGGAGGAAGGTTCAGAGAAGTTAGGTGACACATCTTCAGTCCCTCTCCGGGGCCTCCACTGGCTGGGGCAGTGACGCCGGTAACGGGGAGCACTTTAATGCTGGTCATTATCGCTGAGAACGCCTTCCTCCCCAGGAACTAGGGTCCTGGAGGGACGGGAGGGCTTGCTGTCTGACTGCTGTGAAAAAGCAGGTTCGGTCAACGCAGTCTGCAGCAAACACCTCGGCAAGTGACTTTCCCCTGTCTGGGCCTCAGTTTCCCTTTCTATAAAATGGGGGTGAACAGGACTGGGCTCGGGACTCCTAAGCCCTGTCCGGCTGAGCCTTAACGGCTCGGAGGAGTTTGTCTCCATTTCCAAGCCCGCCCTGGAGCGCTCGCGGGGGCGTGACGGCCCCCAGGACCCAAGGTTCCGATCCGCGCCAAGGCGTTCCGGTCAGCAGCAGCCCCGCGGCTCCTCGGGCCCCGCCGCGCTGGCAAGCCCCAGTCCCCGCCAGCCCAATCGTGCTGGCGCTTTAAGGACGGGCGGGGCGGGCTGGGCGACAGCGCTGGACACCTGGAGCTGCCCGAGGACGCGGAGGAGAGGTGGGGCGGGCGTCACCACCGGAGTGGAGGGCGAGGCCCGGGTCCCGCGCTCCCCTGGGCGCCCCACGGCAGCCTCAGAGCCCCGCGGGGAGCGCGCAGCCCTCGGGGCGGGCGCCGGGGTGAGGCCTGGCTCGGTCCCTGCGCACCGGGTGCGGGCGGCGGAGAGGGCGCGGCTGGTGAGCCCTGGGAGGGCCCAGGAGCCAGACCTCGGTTTTGCGGGCTGGGGAGCAGGGCTCGGGGGCAGCGGCCAGGCCCCTCCGCCCCTAACACCCGCGCCTCCTGCAGACCCGAGGGTCGCCGCTGGTAGGGTCGCTCAGCCCTGGCGTCCTCCACCACCACACCTTCACCTGCGCCCGGCTCCCTGCGCGCCTGGACAGCGCCTGCTGCCCGCCTCCCGATGGCCCTGCCCCAGGTGGGTGGAAACGGCCTTCTCCCTCCTTTACGGGCACTCAGCCCCTTCTGTCGTCGACCTTGCCCCGACCCCTTCCCCTAACCTCGGTCACCGTGGCTTGGTGGGCAGTGTGGACACCCGGGGCTCTGCCTGGGTTTTATCTTGCTGGGTGGCTTGAGGCCATGGCACTCAGGGCCTCAATTGGGGAACAAGAACAAATTCTTGTTCGGACAGTTTCGTCTTTACAGAAAGCGGCATCTAAAGTGCCCTTATTGGGGCCTGGTGCGGTGGCTCACGCCTGTAATCCCAGCACTTTGGGAGGCCGAGGCGGGCTGATAACTTGAGGTCAGGAGTTCGAGACCAGCCTGGGCAACATGATGAAACCCTGTCTCTACTAAAAATACAAAAATTAGCCGGGCATGGTGGCGGGCGCTTGTAATCCTAGCTGCTTAGGAAGCTGAGGCAGGAGAATCACTTGAACTCAGGAGGCAGAGGGTGCAATGAGCCGAGATCGCAGGACTGCCCTCCAGCCTGGGCAACAGAGCAAGATGGAATCTCAAACAAAACAAAACAAAACAAAAATGCCCTTATTGGTATGGAGTAGGGCACGGAGAATGGCATGGCGTTCCATCCTGGCTTTGTGCAGGAGTGGGTGCAGGAGGGAGGCTCTGTCCTCCGGACTCTCCTGACAGGAGCAGGGCCTTTCTACTAGACTTTTACTGAAGATGCTGCCCCCTTGCCAGGGGGCAGATGATAGATTCAGGCTGGCCCTGCCACCAGTGAGCAGATAGGGCAAGATGAAGGGCAGGGACAGGTGCTGAGCACTGCTGTGGAAATAAAAATAATCATAATAAGAATAAATTTTATTTTAATATATTCTCATTCTGAGAAGCAATATGGTATTATTGTGCCCATTTACAGGGAGGACACTAAGGCGTGGAGAAGCTGGATCCTGCCAGTGTCAGAGCAGGGTGCATCCTCGGTCCAGCCTTGTGTCCCTGTGCCTCACTTACAGCCTGCCGTCTTGCCATCTCATTTTCATTACCTGCTTTCCCCTTGCAGGCAGGGATTTGAACTCAGAGATGCTGGGTGGTCACAGAGCTAACAGGGAATGACCACTGTAGTCAGAGGGGGTGATCAATGGATGCATCTGATTCCCGGAAAACCCTCCTCTGGCTGGAGGGAGGTGGGGGCAGCTTCTGTAGACAGCCTTCTGGGAAGGGGTGCAATGAGAGTCCTGGATGTAAGCAGAGGGCGCTCCAGGTGGAAGGAGCACAGGTCTAGTAGAGGGTCCAGGTGAAAGGAGTTTGGGTGAGAACAGCCTGCTGATAGTGACATCCCTGACCTATAATAATAAGGAAAACAACCACTGCACAATGGAACAGGCTGCCCTTCATCCAGTGGACATTGACCTTCTCCACCCCAACCGTCCCCCAGGATGGCAGGTTAGCATGTGCCCTGCCTGCTGTGGGGGATCCACATGGAAGGAGCGAGACCCACACAGAAAATGACCCCGACCCCATGTGAGAACACGCAAAGGGCAGTTGCAGGGGCTAGTCTGAGGCCCGGGAGGAGTTAAGCTGGGAAGGAGGGCCATGCATTCTAAAGAGTGAGAGCTGCCCGTGCCAAAGACAAGTACATCTATTTGCAGCGTGGTCTCAACTTTCTATATTAAAAAATACTGATAGACCTAGCTGTACACACAGACAGGGATTTGACTCAGACTAGACCTGGGTCCAAATCCAGCAGTAACCCTAGTGGACAAATTGTCACCCTATTATGGTCACCAATTGTGGAGAAATTGTCACCCTAGTGGCCACAGTGTCTTTAGGACACAGTGCTGTTGTGGGGATTAAGTGAGGGGACACCTGTAAAGTCCTTGGCATGGTGCCCAGCCTGGTAAATGCCCAGCCTGATAAATGCACAGCACACATCTGCTGCTGCCATCATCCTGTATGCAGGACAAGGGGGCAATGAACAGGAAACAGCCACCTGGGGATTTTGCTAATCTTTGAGAGGCAAGATTAGTGGTGATTTGTGTTTTGCTTTGTTTTTTTTTTTTGTTTTTTTTTGAGAAAGAGTCTCACTCTGTCACCCAGGCTGGAGTGCAGTGACGCAATCTCGGCTCACTGCAACCTCCACATCCTGGGTTCAAGTGATTCTCGTGCCTCAGCATCCCGAGTAGCTGGGACTACAGGTGCCCACCACCACGCCTGGCTAATTGGCTAATTTTTGTATTTCTAGTAGAGACGGGGGTTTCACCATATTGCCCAGGCTGGTCTCAAACTCCTGACCTCAGGTGATCCACCCACCTCGGCCTCCCAAAGTACTGGGATTACAGGTGTGAGCCACTGTGCCCAGCCTGTATTTTTAAATTTTTATTCTCTTCTGTGGTTTTCTCCTTTTTCCACAATGAGCAGCAACTATTGTTTGGTACAAAGTAAAAAGCAGTGTAGGTTGCCCCACGCAGGTGTGCCTAGGTGTGTGCTCCTCCAGTGCTGAGAACCCTGCTGTACCTGGCTTTGGACCAGGTCCTTCACCTTTTTGGGCTCACTCTCCTCATTTGTAAAATGGGACTTTTCATATGGCCTGCCCACCTGTAGGGAGGCAGGTGCGATGCTAGGTATAAAGGGGGACTGTTGAGTACCATAACATACAGGCAGTGGTTACTGTTCTTGATTTGCTTGTGTGTTTTGTTTTTTGAATTTTTTTTCCCAGAAGCAGGTTTCTCCTCTTGACAGCCTCTCCTAGCTCTTTGACTTTGGGGATGGGGGACTGGGAGTAGTCAGAATTTTTTGCTCCCTACATGAAAAGGCTTTGAGCTGGAGACAGGAGGCACTTGCCCCCTGGACAGATTCACAGGAAGAGAACTGCAGGTAATTTACAAATGGAATTTCTCTATATGCATCCAGAGGTCTAGGGGTGCAGAAAGATTGAGGTCCACTCCCAGAGCGCCCCTTTTACATGTGTACATTCTCTCTCTCTCACACACACATGCACACACACACACACGTGTGTTTTTAAACACATTTGGTAACATGCCCTTTTGAAATCTAAAGTTTCACCTACTGCATCTTGAACATTTGCCATGCCCTTCAGCTCCCATGGGATCATGCCTTTGAGCAGCCGCACAGCAGTATGTCATTTGGATATATTGTTGTTGGCTGGGCAAGCCCCACTTGGAAGGGATTTGTGATCACTGAAGCCTCTCTTTAAGGTCTGTGGCCCCCGCTGCCTGCTTCACTGGCTCAGCCTCTGGAAGAGGAGACAGTGCTTCTGCAAATCCTCCTAGCAGCCTCCTAGAGAGCCTGCCTTTTATCCGATGAGGAAGCAGGCCCGGGGCAGGTGAGAGGCTTATCCCATGATACAGCTGTAGAGGGGGGACCAAAGCCGGGACTGTCCTTCATGTCCCTGTGCTGTGGAAGCTGGAATCCTGCACTGCCTCCTCTCTCCCAGCTCTTCACAACTGTGAGGGTGGATTTTCACCCGACCAGCATTGATTTATCCAGCAACACTTTCCCTCAGTTCAGAGGATTTATTGAGCAGCTATTATATGCTAGGCACTGAGGGGATATAGTGGTGAACAAGGCCAGCATGGACCCTGCCCTCAGGGAGCTCACAGACCGGGGAGTGGGATAAGTGAAGCAGAAGTTAAGCACAGGTTTCTGCTGTGGCAAAGGTGGCCCAGGGCACTTAGGGGTTTAAAGTTAAAGTGTCTTCAGAGAAGGCTTCCCTGGTGAGGCTGAGCTGAGCCTTGAGGGGAGCTAATGGGAAGTTACAGGTACAGGGACTGGAAGGTACAATGGACAGCCTAGAAATTGGCTTTGGGGACAACTCAGACCTAGGTTTCCGCCTCCTACATCTGTGTGATCCGGGGCCAGGACCCTTCCAGGTTTTTCCCCCCGTGCATTCTTTTATTTAATTGAGACAACACTGTATGCATAATTTAGTATACTAAGTTGAAAAAAGCAAGATGTGATAAATGTTTCCTCCTCTTGTTAAACCTTTGTGCTGAGCTTGATTTTTTAAAAAAATGGGCTAATATTAATTATTCATTCTAGAGATTATGCCATAGTTTACTCACCATTTCTTTACAATTGAACATTTTAGCACTTTCCAAATTATGACCATTATTAATAAGGCCACGGTGAACGTGTGTATGTGTGTGTGTGTGTGTGTGTGTGTGTATGTGTGTGTGACAGAGTCTCACTCTTTTGCCCAGGCTGGAGTGCAGTGGTGCGATCTCGGCTCACTACAACCTCTGCCTCCCAGGTTCAAGTGATTCTCCTGCCTCAGCCTCCCGAGTAGCTGGGATTACAGGCATGTGCCGCCATGCTCAGCTAATTTTTGTAGTTTTAGTAGAGATGGGGATTCACCCTGTTGGCCAGGCTGGTCTCGAACTCCTGACCTCAGGTGATCTGCCCGCCTTGGCCTCCCAAAGTGCTGGGATTACAGGCGTGAGTCACTGCACCTGGCTTGCTGAACATCTTTTTCCATAAAGTTTTGCTCTATGTTGCGAATTTCGGCCTCAGACTCTTCAATATCCCTCTTTCACACTTGTTCTGGGTCTCGGTATCTTCCTCTATTCAGTAACAGTGTCCATCTCACAAGATTATGACCAGGTGAAGTCAGGCAGTGCATAACCAGCAAACCCTGATCCTGGCAGGCCTGGAGGTTCCAACATGCGTTACTTTTCTCTGTCCCAGCTTCCTGTGTGGCAGTCAGGGTGGGAAGTTTTAGACCCACCAGGCAGATGGGGCCCCTGAGGCCTGGAGGGAGGCCCTGAGTGAAAGTGGTCATACTTAGCTCCTGAGATTTCCCAGTCATGGTGCTGATACATGTTTACCTCTGACCTTCAGAATAGCCCGGCAAAGTCAGGGGCATCATCTCCACTTCACAGATGAGGAAACTGAGGCCCAGAGGAGTTAAGTGACTTCTCCAAGGTTGTACAGTGACCTCAGGCAAAGGAATTAACACCTGGCCTCCAGCACCTTTCATATGGCCCATTTCCTCTTCTCCCTCCTTCTCTGTGTCCAGATGTGTGACGGGAGCCACTTGGCCTCCACCCTCCGCTATTGCATGACAGTCAGCGGCACAGTGGTTCTGGTGGCCGGGACGCTCTGCTTCGCTTGGTGGAGCGAAGGGGATGCAACCGCCCAGCCTGGCCAGCTGGCCCCACCCACGGAGTATCCGGTGCCTGAGGGCCCCAGCCCCCTGCTCAGGTCCGTCAGCTTCGTCTGCTGCGGTGCAGGTGGCCTGCTGCTGCTCATTGGCCTGCTGTGGTCCGTCAAGGCCAGCATCCCAGGGCCACCTCGATGGGACCCCTATCACCTCTCCAGAGACCTGTACTACCTCACTGTGGAGTCCTCAGAGAAGGAGAGCTGCAGGTCAGCAGGGCGGGGTGTGGCAGCGGGTGGGGACTGCAGGTAGGGGCCCAGTCACACCAGCCCACCAGCCAGCATTTGTAATTCCAGCAAATTCTCATGGGGTTCCTCCTTTGGATCAGGCTTTGCCCTGTGTCCTGGGTACACGGAAGCTGATCAGTACAGCCCTGAAGGAGTTTAAAGCCCCATGACAGAAGCTGATGATGACAAACCGGAGTAGGTAGTGCTGTGTGAGAGAGGCATGGCTTTTAAAGACATGGAGAAACCCAGGAAGGCTTCCTGGAGGAGGTGGCAGCTGAGCTCAGCTTGGTATGGGACAGAATAGCAGAGGGTTAAAAGCCTAGGCGCAAGAGTCAGACCCACTGGGACCCTGTTCTGGTTCTATCACAAACTAGCAGTGGGACTTTGAGTAGGTCATGCAATCCCCCTAAGCTTTAACTTCCTCATTTGAAATGAAAAGGACTAATAGCAACAGCAATAATAGCAAACCCCTCTACAGTACAGCCCTGTGCCAGGCACTGTTCAAAGTGCTCTTCCATACTCGCTCAGCTGATCCTTACAGCAGCCCTCTGAAGTAGCTACTGTTATGAGTTCCATTTGTAAAGGAGGAAAAGGAGGCATGGAGACACTAAGTAACTCAGCCAAGGACATCAGATAGTGTGTGTCAGAACCAGGACTTGAACCCAGGCAGTCTGGCCTCAGAGTCTATGCTCACGCCCACTCCCTACTTCAGGTGACACTTGGGAAAATTAAATGAGATATGTATGTTGAGCTTTAGCCGAGTGCCTGGTACACAGTGGGTGCACAGCAAATGTCAACTTTTCCTCTAGTGGACATGGTGGAAAAGAGGCATTTTAGGCAGGCAGAAGAGCATGCACAAAGGTATGGGGTTGGGGACAAAGTGTTGCATGAAGACAGCATCTCTCAACCTTTTATTTTCATTATGGGTCTCCCCACCCTGCCTTGTGCCATCCTTCTTAGACTTTTTTTTTTCCAAATCCTCTTCCATGAAATTGTAACACCCCAGATACACTGTGTATTTGTTTATGTTCTATATGTATATCTGTGCTTTATACATAAAAAGAGTATTACCCTCCCCAAGAACCAATGTGTGTCCTGTTGAGAATGCATGTATTATGCATGCCCTTTTATGTACTTATGTATTCAACAAAGTACAGAGTGTGCCTATGTACTAGGGGCCTGTGTACATCACCTCCTGTCTTTTCTATTTCCTGCAAGGTAAGAATGACTGTTGTGTCTGCAGAAAAGGAAGGAGAGGCATAGCTAGAAAGTGGCAGGAGCCTGCTGGCTGCACGGCTGGCATTCTTCCTCCCACGTCAGTCCTAAGCCCTGGATCCCTGTGTGTGAGGGGCTAAGCCAGACTGCCGTGAGCTGCTGGGACCTGGGACCTGAATGCTCTTCCTCCCTGTTTTAACAGGGAAAATGTTTTCCGAGTCGAAGAATGTAGGAGCATTCCTGCTACCAGCCTGTGACTTCTTAAAGCTAGAGATGATGCAGTACAGTCAGCCCTTTCTGTCTATGGGTTCTGCATCCATGATTCAACCAACCATGGATCCAAAATACTTGAAATAGCATTTACATGTGTATTTACATAGCATTTACATAGTGTTAGATATTGCAGGGCCTTGGGGACTCTCCAGCCAAACCCTTCACTTCTCAGATGAGAGACCTGGGTCTCAGAAAGACCAAGTGACCTAGCTGGTGATACAGTGAGTTAGTGGTCAGTTGGAACCAGGCCAGGCCCCAGATGCTCTGGACCAGAGCCTGCTCCTCCCACCCAGCCAGGCGTGAGTGCAGGGGGTGGGTGTTGCCTGTACACACAGCCATGTTGTTGCAACAGGGTCTAGGCACAGCTGCACCTGGCAGGTGGGGCCCCTTGGCCTTCACTCCCAGTGGGCCAGGGAGGAAGCCCACCTAGGAGGTCACAGGGTGATCGTAGCCCATCGAGCTCCAAGACCCCAGTCGTAGACTCAAAACTGGGGGGCTGGGGGTCGAGGAGGCTGCTTCTGCTGGAGGTGCTCTTTCCTGTCCTGAGGCTGACTCAGCCCAGCCCTGCTGCCTGCAGAGCCCAGCACCTGGCCCCCATGGGTGGCTACTCTGCTATTCCTGCTCCCAGGCACCTCAGTCTCTGGTGGTGCCCGCTGTGGGTAACTCTAGGTCAGAAATAAAGCCTTCCTGGGCTGATGGCTTGGGCAGGTCCCTTCCCCTCTTGGCCTCGGTTTCCCCGTTTATTCATCTACTTACTCTTTCATGCATGTGCCTAATATTGATTGAGCACACGTAGGTATGCTGGGTGCTATTCAGAGAACTGACGGTGCCACAGTGGGCAAAACAGACAAAATCCCTGCCCTCAGGAAGCTCCTATCTTGAGTGTAAGTCCCCTTAGTGAGGTGGCTGGATGTGGGGCCTCCAGTAGTCCCTGCTCTTTCTTTTAGAAGCTGTGTGTCCTTGAGGATGTTACTTAGACTCTCTGAGGCTGTGTCTGACACCTCTTCTCTCAACTGGGGTGAAGACCTTTTCCCTATCATCGCTGTCAGGCTCAGATGAGATGAGAGTTAGGGAAGCGTGCACTCTGTAGCTGGTACACACATCTGCTTTCTCTGCTATTCCTGTTTTAATTTACAGTGCGCCCTCATGCCCACTAGATTTGAGCCTCAACTGCTTATGAGGTAAGTGTAAGGATTAGGCCCATTTGACAGCTGAGAAGACTGAGGTGAGGAGAGATGAGGTGGCTTGGGGGAGAGGTGTGATAGGTGGACTTAGCTTGAGCTTTGCAGTCAGACGAAGCTGGGGCTTTGCCACTTAGTTGACACATGGCCTTTACTCATCTGTAAAGTGGGTGCAGGCCTCTACCCCCCAGGGTGGTTGTGAATATGAAAGGAGATTAGAGAACTTAAGTGTTGGGCAAATTGTATTTCATCCCTTGCCCCACTCTTCCTGGGTTTGCCTGACTCAGCTGAAAGGCAGTGGAGCTGGTGCCAGGCCCAGGTCTCCTGCCCCAACCAGACTCCAAAGATTGGGGTGAGCCCTAGCCTCCATGGCACTTCCTGTGCGGGGAGACCACTGTGGCAGGACTGCCCCACACAGCTGCCGAGGCGCCATATCCATGAATGGGGCCTGCTCCCAGAGGGGTGTGATGCAGCTGCCCTGCTTGCTGAGTTCCTGGCATCCTCGACTGTGACCTTGGCGACTTGGAGCTGGGCGGGCCCAGCTGGTCACTAAGGTGACAGAAGGTGGTGTGAGGGCCGCTTCACATCTGCCCTCTAAGCAAACTTCCTGCTGTGGGCAGAACTCACCGGCACCTGTGCCCTGCCCTGCCAGCTGTCACCTGCTGGGATGGCCCCAGGCCTACCCAAAGCCTGTCTCAGGTGTCCAGGGCTCTAAGTGGGGCTGGAGCATGGCTGGGAGGTGAGCAGGCAGGAGATGGGGCTCTGGAAGCTAATTACTTACACTTTTCTGAGTGTTGTGAAACATTTGTTTTTCTTTTTTTTTTTGCCCCTGAATCTGAAAGGAGAAATATTATCCTCATTTTACGGATGAGGAGAAAGAGGTTCAGAGAAGGTGTAAATGTGGTCCAGGTCACACAGCAGTAGAACCCAACTTGCCTCCTTCCAGGAGGAATATTCTCTGTCCTGCCCTCATCTGCAAGGATGCTGGGAGCTCAGAGGAGGGTGAGGACAGGCACTATCTCAGCTTCCTCGGCTGTCTTCCAGAGAAGGAAGGGAGGTCTGTGAGAGTTCACAGGAGCACTGGACAGGGAGTTCCATGTTTGGGACTCCTGGCTGGTGTCCCAGGGATTTCTGGCTGGTGCCCTGCCCTGTACTGACATACAGGCTGGGGTTCAAATCCAGGATCCCATCAATCTGCTCCGTCACCCTGGTCTGTGATTGGGAGCAGTGAGCCTCCCAGCAGGCTGCTGTGAGGCTGCAGTGGGCCGAGAAGACACATTGCCGGAGAAAGTCCAGGTCCCCGGTGGGTGCTGGGCGTTCACCTGAGGGGCAGCAGCAGGTTCCATCTACCAGCATGGGCCCCTCCGTCAGCTAAGTCCCATCTACTGCTTCTTCTGTTCCCCAGACTGGCCTCTTGCCATTGGCCCCTCCTCGGTCTAGACAGCAGGACCACAGGTATGGAATCAACTGCTTCCCAGCAGCTCCAAACTGAGGAGCCTGGCAAGTGACTCAGCCTCTCTCAGCCTTGTGGGGCCTGCCATCTTGAGGCCTGTGATAAGCTTTGCTCCCTGACCCATTCCCCACAGGAGCCCCTTGAGATTCTGCTCATAACCCCACTTACGTCCCGGGCGCTGAGTGCTGCCCTCCGTGAGCCCATTTAACCTGCACTCTGTCCTGTGAGGCAGGTGCCACTACCATCCCCCATTTTACAGATGAGGAAACCAGGCCTCGATGAATGGAATTACAGACCCATGATCTCCCAGCAGGAATGTGTCCAAGCAGGGAGGTGAACCAACCAGTGCCCAGACTCATAACCACCCTCAGTGTTGGAAGGGACCTTCAGGATCACCCCCAAAGCAAGAGCAGCCCACACCCAGGATCAGCGACATTCCCACCCCACTCCCCACTGTGTGTCCCAGGTTGGGGAGGGGCATTGGATCCCCAGAGATGACCCGCCAGGGCTCTGAGGGGGCCGACAGCTGGTCTCATTCCTATCAGCCTTAGGCTGGCTGGGGCGTGGGTGATCTGTCTCAGGGTCTGGCCTGCAGAACTTGGTCTCTGCCTCAAGCCCCTGTGGGGTGGTTTAGTTGGCCAGGGGTGGGGACCAGAAAAGAGTCACAGGATAGCAAACTGTCCAGAGATAGAAGTGGTTGATCTGGTAAGTTGTAAGCTCTCCATCCCTGGAGGTATGCAAGTAGAGATAATCACTTGGCAGACATCATATCAAAATCTAAAGCATCCAGATGGGCAGAGGAATTGAGGTCTCCCATTCTGCCCTGGGCATCCCAATTCTGATCTTGTAAAGGATATTTCAATAGGCGGGAGTCTTCTGTCTATGGACCACCATCACTCAATCTTTCAACATGAAACACCCATAAGCAGCTACCCTCAGCCCCTGGACTCTCAGTCACTGCCCTAGGGTAGGACTTACCCTGCAGAGAGAACTGAGGAGGCACCAGGAGGTGCTGGGAGCACATACAGGGAACTAATTCTATGGCGCAGGGAGTGGGTGGCGGGAAGGCTGAGGGCCACAGGGGCTGGCTCATGCCAAGTTTCAACTGCGTATATGTGACCCTGGAGAGCCACAAAGGCTTGGAGCAGGGTGTGAAGACTTCTCTGCCCCCAGCCTTCCTCACTGTCTCTCTGGCAGGCAGCAGGGTCTGCCCCAGCCCCTGCTAACAGCCTCTCTTCTGTTCCTGCAGGACCCCCAAAGTGGTTGACATCCCCACTTACGAGGAAGCCGTGAGCTTCCCAGTGGCCGAGGGGCCCCCAACACCACCTGCATACCCTACGGAGGAAGCCCTGGAGCCAAGTGGATCGAGGGATGCCCTGCTCAGCACCCAGCCCGCCTGGCCTCCACCCAGCTATGAGAGCATCAGCCTTGCTCTTGATGCCGTTTCTGCGGAGACGACACCGAGTGCCACACGCTCCTGCTCAGGCCTGGTTCAGACTGCACGGGGAGGAAGTTAAAGGCTCCTAGCAGGTCCTGAATCCAGAGACAAAAATGCCGTGCCTTCTCCAGAGTCTTATGCAGTGCCTGGGACACAGTAGGCACTCAGCAAACGTTCGTTGTTGAAGGCTGTTCTATTTATCTATTGCTGTATAACAAACCACCCCAGAATTTAGTGGCTTAAAATAAATCCCATTTTATTATGTCTCACGACTCTATGAGTTGCCTAGGCCCAGCTAGGGGTGTTCTGCCCTCCGTGGTATGGGTGAGGCTACAGTCTTCAGGGGCCCAGCTGGCCAGGACATCCTGGGTGGCACTCCTATGGCCAGCGGTGAGTGCTGGCTGTCAGCTGGGAGATTGTGTGCAGGTGAGAAAACTGGGGCCCAGGGGTACACATCATGTTTATAACCAGAAGAACATGGCCTCTGAATTCAGACCACCTATGTATAGGTTCCACCAGGTACCATTTCTTTTTTTTTTTTTTAGATAGGATCTCACTGTGTCACCCAGGCTGGAGTACAGTGGCTCAATCATGACTCGCTGCAGCCTCTTCCTCCCAGGCTCAAGAGATCCTCCCACCTCAGCCTCCCAAGTAGCAGAAACCACAAGCTTGCCCGACTAATTTTAAAAAATTTGTTGTAGAGAGGGAGCTTGCTGTGTTGCCCAGGCTGGTCTTGAACTCCCAGCCTCCTAAAGTGTTAGGATTACAGACGTGAGCCACTGTGCCCAGTCTGCCATGTACCATCTTAGTGACTTGGACAAGTGATTTTTCCTCTCTCTGCCTTAGCCTCCTCATCTGTAAAATGGGAATTGAGGATTCCCTCAAAGAGCTGATTTGTGAGGATTCAGTGAGATGGTAGCAACTGACATGTGAGTTCACACTGACACCGCCATCAATGGCTCAGTGCTGAGGCACCAGATAATAAAGGCAGGCGTCTTAGCCCTGAGCCAGGTGCCTAGTAAGTGTGCAGTAATTGTCAGTTTTATGAGTAGAGGTAACCCTCCTCCACCAAGTGCAAATTCAGCCTCTGCTCCCATACCTCCTTTGACGGGAAGCTCACTACTTTTGCTCACTTTGCAGATGTGGCAGAAACATCTACTTTTGACCAGCTCCGTTCTGCATCCCTACGTCTCTAGCCCACCCCACTTCCATGAAAGGAGGTGAAGTGATCTTCCCAGGGTCACACTGCCAGCAGGGGTCCAAAGGCCTGGGGCTTAGTCAGCTGGAGGAGGGTGTCATCCCCAGAGCCTACTATGTGCTGGGCCCGGTCCTCTGCTATTGTATCATCTTCAGAGTGCCCTGCGACAGGTGGTGGTGTCAGCATTTAACAGGTGAGGAACTAGCCTTGGAGAGGTAAAAATCCCAGACAATAAAGGCGCAGCCGGTGTGGGGTTCTCCCACCTAGGCTGCATGATTGTCACAGTAGCCACAGTCTTGGTCTCTCTCTGCTTCTCCCTGAGGCCCTTGCAGTCTCTTCTCAGTCCAGCAGGCAGAGTGAGCTGTTCAGACCCAGGTCAGATCATGACCCACCCTGCCCCTGGCCCTGCTGCACCCCACCCTTCCCACCGCACTCCCCCTCCCCCCACCCCCCACTGTGGCTCCCAGCTCACTTTCAATAATGAAAGCCCAGGCCAGGTGTGATGGCTCACGCCTGTAATCCCAGCACTTTGGGAGGCCGAGGCGGGTGGATCATGAAGTCAGGAGTTCAAGACCAGCCTGGCCAAGACGGTGAAACCCCGTCTCTACTAAAAATACAAAAATTAGCTGGGTGTGGTGGCGGGCGCTGTAATCTCAGCTCCTCAGGAGGCTGAGGCAGAGAATTGCTTGAACCCGGGAGGTGGAGGTTGCAGTGAGCCGAGATCGCACCACTGTACTCCAGCCTGGGTGACAGAGCGAGACTCCTTCTCAAAAAGAAAAGAAAAGAAAGGAAAAGAAAAGAAAAGAAAAAAGAAAAGAAAAGAAAGCCCAGACACTGGTCTGAGGAGAGGGGGGCTCTGAGGCCTGGTCTGAGCCTGTCCTCTCTCCTGACCCTCTCATTTCCTGCCACTCTCTCCCCCTGCTCTCTGCTCCAACCAGTCTCGCTGAGGCTTTTGCACTGGCTGTTTCCTCTCTCCTGAAATGCTTCCTGGGGGCTTGCTCTTCAGCAACCTGGGTGTCTCTTCTGACCCTCTCCCTCCCCTGTCACCAAACTCTAGATCACTCCTGTGCCTCCCTCCCTTCCTCTCCTCTACATCACTGCTTCACCCTCCTCTTCTTGGTATTAACCCAGGACAGTCTAGGAGCCTGGAGGTGTAGGTGTGAAGTGACCTTGGGTGAGTTAGGTGAGTTAATGAGTTGCTGGTGTGACCAGGAGGCACCACTTTACTGGGCAGGCACTGAAAGGGCAAGGGTGGGAGGGCTGGAAGCACAGAGAACTTTTCTGCCTTTCTCTCCAATCCACTCATCTGTGGCCTAACTGGAAGCCCACAGGAGGGGCCATGACTTGCTCAAGGTCACCAGCATCATGAAAGAGGCTGAGTCAGGGCTGCAGAGGGAAGACAGACTCCTGACCAAGCCATGTTACTGTCCCCTTCCAAGCCAAAGTGGCCTCGCTGTGAATGGGGGTTCCTTGTGTCCACTGGCAGAGTGCCTGACCATGGAGCCACGTGAGGGCCAGCTCTGCCACTCTGCAGCCCCCAGGAGGCACCAGTTTGCTTGCTGGTTTCTTTCCTCCTGGGCCCGACCATCCAGTTTCTTCACCCCCTATTCAGACCTCATCTTGTGCTGGCCACCAGAGTCTCAGATGACAGGGATCCTCAGAGCTCAGACCTCCCCCGTGCTTTCCTTGGGCCCCTCCCGGGCTTCTGTTACCCGCTGGGTGGGCTTGGTGACCCCTGCCCCTGGAGCTCTCCACCTTAAATCAGCCCACCCCAGTCAGAAATCCCTGTGCTACCCCCTCGGTGGCTCATTGCTGCTCACTGGGATCTTTCTCTCTCTAATTGAAAAATTAAAATCTGGTTCTCATCTTTCCCATGCATAACCTCTGTGAAAAATGTCAGATACCTTAGCCCCAGCAGGTTTCCTGCCTGCATTTCCTCTCCGGCCTCTCTCTCCCAGGCATGCAGATTCCATCCCTCTATTCACACACGCATCCAGAGCCTACCCTGTCCTAGCCCCTGGGGATAGAGCAGTGCTCAAAACAAAGTCCCCACCCTGTGGGGGCTTGAGTTCTAGTTGAGGAGACAGACAGACAAGAGACAAGATAAATCATGCATATAGTATGATAGGTGGCTGTGAGCACTATGGAGAAACATTGAGAAAAGAATACAGGGAACCCCTGGGGAGGCGATTCTGCAGTTTCATAGCAGGATCAGGGAAGCCCTCACTGTGAAGGCGACATTTGGGCAAAGTCCTGAAGAAGGTAAGGGAGGGAGCCATGCAGCTACAGGAAGAACAGCACTCCAGGCAGAAGGAACAGCAGGTGCGGAGGCCCTGGGATGCATGCGTGTTCCAGGAACAGCATGGGGCCAGGGTGGTGGAATGGGTGAGTGAGAGGGGGCGTGGCGGGAGGCAAGCTCAGAGGGTTGATATGCAGGCAGCGCGGGCCAATTATCCAGAGCCTTTCAGGTCATCTTAAAGCATTTGGCTTTTACTCTGATGAGATGGGGAGCCATTCCAAGGCTCCGTGCAGAAGAGTGACATGATCTGACCCAGTATTGGGGCTGCAAAGACACTTCAGAGGTCAAGGATGGAAGTAGAGACCAGTTAGGGAGAGAAAGAGATGGTGGAGGCTCAGACCCGGTGATGAGCAGTCGTCAGGGGTGAGAAGTGATTGGATTCTTACATGTTGGAGGTAGAGCCCATAGGATGTGGGTGTGATGGAGGAGGTGAGGTTGGTGACGGGGCTTGCTAACCGGAAGGATGGGGTTATGGGAGGGGCAGGCCTGGGGAGGAAGATGCAATGCAGGCAGCCTGTGCACAGCACTTAGAGCTTTCTCGCCAGCTGTGTGTCGGCGGGTACGTACCTCAGTGCCTTTGCACATGCTGGCCTCTGTGCCTAGGAGGTTTCTCCTGCCCCGTCAGAACTCCAACTGCCTTCTCAAGTGTCCCTTCTGTGAATCTGTCCCTTCACCCCTCATCCCCATCTGTTCCTCTCTCTGCTTTGTGCACATTCGGGACCTCGCACGCATCGCAAAGCCATTACCGTATTGTGCCCCAGAAGGTGCCCCAGAAGTTAGGACTGAGCGCCATCCATCCCTGAAGCCCTGTGTGTACGAGTTCCTAACAGCTCAGTGTCCCCCACACAGTAGGGGCTCAACCAGAGACTGCCTGGGGACCTGGGTGGACTCCTAGCTCTACTGTCTGTTCCCAGGTTCTGCCACGTTGGGTCGCTCGCCTTGCCTGCGTGGACCTCGATGCTTACCTCTGTCAAATGGGCGTGCTCTTTCCCTCCCTGCCTCGGGGTGTCATGGGAGCCCGCTCGCAAGGATCCCGAAAGCTGGGGTTAGCGCGCCCTCTGCTGGACGATGAAAGACTCCGCGCGCTCTGCTCCCCAGTCCCCCAGGTGGCCCGGGGGAGGTGAAGTAAGGCGGGAGGGCGGGGGGACTACAGGAGAGGAGGGGGAGCTGCTGCACCCGAACATTTCCAGCGCACCCTACACACATGTCCTTACTTAATCCCTAGCCCGACTCTGTGGAAGAGCTTAGGTGAGACCCATTTTCCAGAGTTCCTACCTGTTTCCTACTTGCTACTGAATTTCTTACTCGTAGTTACCTTATTTTTTTTTTTTTTTTTTAAGAGGAGAAGCGACTCAGAGAGAAAAGGGGCGAAGAAGGCTGGGCCGTGTAGAGGAAAGAAAAGGCGCGAGAGAAGAAGACTGCCCGGGTGACCGCGAGGCCTCTGAGGAATGGCTGAAGAGCAGATCCATCTACATGGGGCTGGGAGGGGAGGTGCGGTCACCGCTCAGCCGCCGACTCAGCCGAGGGAGACCTTGGCCAGCCCCTGCCACTCCGCAGGCTCGGTTTCCTCGCCTGTGAAATGCGGGCGATGACTCCCCTCCCCGCCGCGACTGCTCATCACCGGGTCCGAGCCCAGCCGCTGACCCCGGGGGAAGCGCCTTGCTCAGCGCCGGGCGGCCCACGAGGCCCTGCAGGACCGCGGCTGCGGAGACCGTTCCCGCCACCCGCCTGGGCTCCAGGGCCAGACGGGCTGAGGTCCCTCTGGGCCTCCGTCTCCTTTCCAGGGAGGGGCACCGGCTAGGTAACACGGCACTCGCCCTTTCCCTTCTCTGAGCCTGTAGTAGATGATGATAATAATGTTTCCGTGGAAGGTCCTGCTTTGTTAATAGTCACAGATTACAAAGTACTTGCCTTTTCCCACTCCCCTTATGTCCCTTCCCTGTACAAAACCTGGGAGGTGGCCTAATACCTATCCCCAATCTGCAGTTGACAAAACTCTAGCCCGGAGCAGAGCCACCTGCCTGAGCTCACCCTGAGAACCAGACCTGGACATGACCTGATAACTCAGCCCTTTCCTGCCCCTCAGCCATCGCTCAGCCAGGGCCCCTGAGCTCCCTCCAGGACCTCCTCTGCGAACTGTCAAGTGCACCTGGACTCTGAGGGCTGGCGATGGTGGGTGTGAGGAAGGAGAAACCCCTGTTGGAAAAAGGGCCTATGAGAAGGACGTCTAGTTAGAGGGGCAGCTGTGAGCACAGGTGTGGGGTTAGGGAACAAGGGCAGCCCTGCTGGCAGGAGGGGAGAAGGTGATGACCGCCAACAGGAAATCCCCAAGCCCAGCAAGTCAGGGAGCCCATTGAAAGCCTTTTATCCTGCATCGGCGATTTAACCCCATGTAAACGCCAAGTGAACATTCTCTTGTAGAGACCGATGGTCCTCATTTTCCTGTAATCCTGTAAAGGAATCTGATTTCTTCCATCAGCCTGTCCCTAGGACTAAAATGCCTCATTAGTGTTATTCTTAGGAAGGCATCTTCCTAGATCAGGCTGCAAGGAAATGGAGGAAGTGACTGTCAGTCACTCACACCCTGCAGGGGCACTAATTCCGAGAGCCTTAGGGGTGGGTGGGGAGCAGTTCATTGAAAGCCCAACTGGGTGGTGCATAGCGTGTGAATGTGAAGGGGATGGAGGAACCCAAGGAGGCCAGGCCTGGAGACAGCACCAAATCTGGGAGGTACATTATTATTCCCATTTTACAGAGGAGGAAACTGAGGTAACCTGATCATGACCACACTGCCCCACAGTAGAGGAGCCAGAATCCAAACCCAGGCAGCCTGCCTTGCCACCAGAGCCACGCTTTTCACCCTCAAGCTGCAGTTAAGAAGTATCACGCCGTGGCTAGGCCCACGGCCTCTGGCTTCACATCCCACTAGCTCTGCCATCTTTAGCTGTGTGACCTTGGGCAAGTTACTTGTCTGTGCCCGAGGGTCCTCTGTAAAGTGGGGATAGTAGTAGCTGCTTCACTGGGTTCCCTTCAATGAGTTAATAGCTGTAACATGTTTAGAATGGTGCCCTGCACATAGTCACCAGCCAGTACATATGGGCCATTATTCCTGAACCCTGGATAGGCACATGTCCTTGAAGAGTGTAGAATTCTTCAGGATTCTGAAATGCCAGCCTGTGGGATCCTGGAATCCTCCAATAGCATTCTAACAGCTCTCAGCTGCAGAACTGTACCCTGTTTTCTAGAGCTGGAAGGTGTGAGGCTGCCTGTCCACCCAGCTCAACCCCACAGTAGGCAAATGAGGTGATGTCAAAGCCTTGGCTGGGGCCCAGCCCCGGTAACCTCCCACTCTCCCTCCCCTGTGTGCTCCCTCGCTCAGATTCACACACACACTCCAGGCCAGCCGGGCCCAGAGGGAAGGTGAGAGGGCAAGGAGTAAAGGTGGCTGGGTGTGGGTCCGTTGAAGCGAGCCGCCTCCAGCCCTGTTGAACTGGTGGGCCCAGGGACTGGAGCGGGATTGAAAGGGATCTTGCTCTCCCTTGAAGCCTTGAGTTGCAGCGATTTCAGTGTCTTCTCTCCCTGTGTAAGCCTGTCTCGGTGTTTAGGCTGAACTACAGCCACCCCCTCTCCCGGGGGTGTGCAGGCCAGGGACTGGCCAGGCAGCCATGGCTGACGAGAAGACCTTCCGGATCGGCTTCATTGTGCTGGGGCTTTTCCTGCTGGCCCTCGGTACGTTCCTCATGAGCCATGATCGGCCCCAGGTCTACGGCACCTTCTATGCCATGGGCAGCGTCATGGTGATCGGGGGCATCATCTGGAGCATGTGCCAGTGCTACCCCAAGGTAGGTGGTAGTGGGGCTGGGTGGGGCCAGGTCAGCTGGGGCCAGGAGGGCTGGACACTGTGCCTGTATGCCATGCCTCACCCCCTATCCTTTAGTTGTCTTTTCATTCTTCTCATTTTGACTCGGTCTTCTCTCTGCTCTCCTGAGCGTCTGTCCCATCCATCCATCCATCCATCCATCCATCCATCCATCCATCCCTTAGCCTAAGGGTTGATCAGAAGGCCCCTGGATCTGGAGCCCTGAGCCGGAAGCTATGGTATAGACACAGCAAACACAACACACCATGTGCTTGAAACAAAAGCTAATGAGCGCTGACCCCCTGCCAGGCACTCCTGCGTTCAGGGTGCAGTTCAGCCCTCATCCTAAGCCTTTTGGTGCTTTCTGTAGTTCCACCTTCTGAGCCTTTCTGAGGTCCAGAAAGAGAGGCTGCACAGCTAACGAGCAAGGTTTGGAGCTCAGATGCGTGTGACTTACACGTCACCCTTCACCTTGGGTCTTCTACCTCTGGGTCCCAGAGCGACTGAGAGCTCCAGGGTAGGTCAGGTCTAACCTTGGTGGCATGCACTGGGCAGTATCCTTTAGAGTCTTCATGTATTCTCAGCCTTATGTGTAATTTAGTGATGGGAAGAGCACTGGTTTGGGAGTCCTGAGTTCTAGTTCAAGTCCTGTTCCAAACTCTCTATGACCTTTGTCTTTCTGAGCCTCATTTTTTTCATCTGCAAATGAGATCCCTGCCCCTATTTTCCACAGAGCTTCACAGGGTCATTATAAAGATCAGAGAAGAGATAAGATATAGGAATATTTTGTAAACTGTAAGGTGTTATTTATAGATGAAGGGCTACCACTGTTACCCATACTGATCCTCCCAACAGCTCTGTGGAATGGAAATGCCAGGAGTTGCGAATCTTCAATGCCTAGAGAGGCTGGGTGACTTCCAAGGTCACACAGCTGGTCAGGTACAGACCCAGGGAGAAAAGGAGGGAAATAGGGACTCTAACTTGGGCTCTGTCTCTTACTGCCTGGGAGACTTTGCTCAAGCCCCTTTCCTCTCTGAGCCTCAGTTTCCTCATTTGTACACTGTGTGAGTTAGGAGGGGGGGGTGGGAAAGGGGGTATATCTGGGGGCCCTGCTGGACCTAATATCTAGGGCTCCAGGTCCAGGCAGTCCTCAGCAACCCCCACACCTCCTCTCCTCCCACCTGGGTGGCTGTGCTCAGGGTTTCAGGGAAGAAGGGGGATGGCTCCCTGGGGCCTGGGCCGGCTCTCCCCAGCCCTGCCCCCTCCACGGGCCAACCCTGGGCTGTCATTCTGTTCAGTGCTGGAGCGGTCTGGGCTGGTTTGTAGTCATTTAGCAGGCAGTTTACAGTCAACTTGCCTCTGTCTGTGCAATTCCTTGAGCAGAGGTCACTGGGAGAAGTCCTTGGGGCCAAAGCCACTCATGTCACCACTGCTATTATAATCCTTCTCCCAGTGAGGAGGCTGGACCCTGGGGGACAGCAGAGGGATGGCAGAGGTGTGGAGAGGAGCATCCTTCCTGCCCCCGCTCTTAAATAGAGCTGGCTCTGGGATGGTTGGTAGGCTGATGGGAGTGACGGTAGAGGGGAGGGGAGGGGAGGAGGGAATATTGCTGGGTATTAATGAGTAACTGTTGATAGATTCATGGGTTCACGTGCTGTGGAGGCAGCGTGGTGGGCTGAAAATGGCACATGTTGTGGCAACCTCCAGGCCCAGATTCAAATCCCTGCTCCTTCATGTCCCACTTCTGTGACCTTGGCAGAAAGAGTCCCTCCCCCTCAGCTCTGAGCCTTGTACGGCTGATTGGGAGAACACAGTGGGATCGTGTGTGTGTGTGTGTGTGTGTGTGTGTGTGTGTGTGTGTGTGTTGGGGGAGACCTGGCATCACACCTGCCATGGAACATATGTGAAGGCATTGTTCTTAGGATTGAGGATTGGTATTTGCGGCACTGGGTGGGCCTCTGCATGAGTGCAGGTGTGTGTGAGTGTGTGTTTCAGAGATGCAGGCTGGTAGAGCCAGCACAAATTGACTCCAATAAGGGAAGGGAGGAAAGCACCTTATAAACCAGGGAGACACTCTAGAGGCGAAGCTCCCTGGATCCTGCTTGGTCTCATTGGTGCCTGGGCCAACGCTGCCTGCAGTGCTCCTGCCTGTCCTCCCCTCAGCCTCCTCCCCGTGGCTCTCTGTGCCAGACCTATGGAAAGTTTTGATAAATGGGGAGATATAAATATAAGGGAATAGAATTAGCTAATTAGGATATAGGGGTGAGGGGTAGCCAATACCAACATGCATTAAGCTGTCCATGTCTTTTAGGGGCTAGAGGTCTAGTGGGAGAGGCTATTTGCTGCCTGATGGGGAGGAAACAGGCTTCACAGAGAAGGTGAGCTGGGCTTTGTAGGTGAGATAAGAGTTCACCAAGCAGAGAAGATGGGGAAAGACATTCCAGGCAGAAGAGTAGCATGATCAAAGCAATGTGGTAAAAGAATAAGGCAAGTGGGCCATTGTGGCTACGAGAGGCAGAGGGGAGGAAGGTAAAGGTAGCGAGGGAGTGGGGCTCAACTCTTCAGGGCCTGGGATGCCATGGTAAGGAATTTGGAGCTTGTCCTTTAGTTAATGGGACACGACCAGCTTTGCAGTTTGAGAAAGACATCCAGAAGAAGGAAGGTCTGGGGGCAGCCATACCAGTGGGGAGGCTTCTTCTCTGGTCTTGGTGAGAGCTGACAGTCATCTGGAATAATGCAGAATTCAAACACAAAGCTGTAGGAACTAAGGTGACATTTACAGTTCACTTCACATAGAGTACCCGTTGTGGCTAGGCATAGCACCAGCACTTCCACCCAGGTTATCTTATTGAATTTCTGAAGTAGACCTGGTCAGATTTGGTGGTCAGCTGGGCCTCAGGCATGAGAGAGGAGAAGGGATCAGGGCAAATCTAGTGGATGGGACAGTTGGAGGTGCTGAGCCCATTAGTGAAGATGGGGCAGGGGAGCTGTGAGCAGGGAAAGGAGTGGCAGGGAGAGCAGGGTCTCTGCCCACGCATCCCCCATTCCTCACTCCTGCCTGCTGTGCTGGAGACCAGGACCAGGGTCCTGACTGGTGGCCTCCCTCTCTCTGGAGATTGCTCAGTGTTCTGCCTAAACACAAATCTGACAGTGTACTCTCTTGCTGAGAGTCCTTCAGGACTCCCCATTGCATCTGGAGAAAGGCTAAGCTTCTTAGTTTGGTGTTCTGGTGGTCTCCATGGTCTGATATCCTCTCTCCAGCTTCAACTCTGCCTGTCCCTCCTCATCAAAAAACTTGCATTTTAAGATGCCCCATCCTTTCCTTCTCCAAGCTTTTCCTAAGGGTGGTGATGATGATATGATGGTGATAATGAGAGTGCAGTGGGGATAGTGAGGGTGAGAATGGTGATGGTGATGATGATGATGATGATGTTAGTGATGGTGCTGATAAGAATGATGATGGTAAAGATGGTGATTATGAGATGATGATGGTGAGGATGGTGATGGTGACAATGGTGATGATTATGGTGATTAGGAGATGGTGATGATGAGGATGGTGATGGTGAGAATGGTAATGGTGATAATGGTGATGATGATAATAGTGATAATGATGGTGAGGATGGTGATGGTGACAATGGTGATGATGATGATGATGATGATAGTGATGATGATGGTGACGGTGATGATGATGGTGACGGTGATGATGATGGTGCTGACTGGGCCATGAGGTAATGAGGCAGAGGAAGAGGCAGCTTCTAGGAAGTACAGTACTAGCTGGGAAGTACAAAGCATCCTTAACGGGGGTGGAAGAAGCCCAGGCCCCTGCCTTATTTCTTTCCTTTTCTTTTTTGTTTTTAAGAGACAGGAGCTCAGTCTGTCACCTAGGCTGGAGTGCAGAGGTGCAATCATAGCTCACTGCAGCCTCGAACTCCTGGGATCAACCAATCCTCCTGCCTCAGTCTCCCAAGTAGCTGGGATGACAGGCTCACACCACCACATCCAGCTAAATTTGTTATTTAATTTTTTTATTTTTTTTGTAGAGACAGCGTCTTTCTTCATTGCCCAGGAGCTCTGTTTTATTTCTGGACATCTAGAGAAAGCGCACTCCTCATAGGAGTACAAAGGCCCCCTCCATCCATCATTCCCTTCTCCCCATCAGAATGGAGCTTTCCTAGTGCAGACAAGTGTCTTCTACTCACTTTGCTCTATGGGAAGGGGAATAGGGAAGTGCTATTTATGAATCTGGTATAATACAGTGGGGTCTCAACAAATATTTATTGGAAAAATTTTCAGCCGAGGAGAGCAAGACTCAGAGAAGTCAGACAACTGAATCATCAATAGCATCAAGTTATGATTTACTGAGTAGTTACTATGTGCTGGGGACCATGCTGAGGGATTCCCTATATATGATCTCATGAAATTTTCACAGCAACCTCAGGAGACTGGCGTAACTAGCCCCATTTTAAAACTCATGGTAAAATACACGTAACATAAAAGTTAGTGTCTTAAACATATTTAAGTGTACAGTACAGCTAAGTACATTCACATTGTCATCCAACCAATTTCCAGAATGCTTTTTGTCTTGTAAAGCTAAAACTCTATACCCATTAAATCACAATTCCCCATTATCCCACTCTCTAGCCCCTGGCAACCATCTTTCTTCTTTCTGGCTCTATGGATTTGACTATTCCAGGTGCCTCAGAAAAGTAGAATCATACAGTATTTGTCTTTCTGCTCAGCATAATGTCCTCGAGGTTCAGTGATGTTGTAGCATGTGTCAGAAGTTCCATCCTTAAGGCTGAATAGTATTTCATCATATGGATAGACTATATTTTGTTTATCCATTCATTCATCAGTGGATACTTGGGTTGCATCTACCTCTTGGCTCTTGTGAATACTGCTGCTCTGAACATGGCTGTGCAAGTATCTCTTCGAGGGTAGCCCCGTTATACAGAGGAGCACAGAGAGACTGCGAAGAGAGATGACCTGCCTAGGGCCCACAGTGAGAATCTGGCAGAGGAGGGATCCTCACCCCATCTCCCAGATCCCACAGGCACAGCTCCTCTCCCTCACCCACTGCCTCCTTCATGATCTGCCTCCGACTGCACCACGCAGTGCCCACCTAGGGCTGGACTTGCAGAGACCTCTTGATTCCTGAAAGTTCAGGGACAGGGACTGGCGGGCATAACTTCTCTGTCACCCACTGCAGCCCATGTGGCAAAAACACATGACAATGACTTGCTTTCCACTCATTCACCAAATATGGATGAAGCACCTACTATGTGCCAGGCTTGTGCTGGGCACTGGACGAAGACCCCTGGGAAATGAAAAGATGTGAGCTCCTCAAGGACAGGGTTCTCTTTCACTCCTTGCTGCTCCTAGTGCCTGCGACAGTGCCTGCACACAGCAGATAATAAATGTTTGTAGAGTGAATGAAGAACCAGGAAGGGAGCAGGAGCACAGAGGTCCATCCTCCCGCTGGTGCTGTGCCCCAAGTAGGCCCCTCTCCTGTCAAGCAGGGAGGCCTCCGTGGTGCAGCCTGTCTCCCAGAGCTCATGGAGAGGTTTGCCAATTCCCTGAGGGGACAGTAGCCCCCCTACCCTGGTCAACTGCACAGAGGCTGTCTCTCCTTTGCTTGCAGATCACCTTCGTCCCTGCTGACTCTGACTTTCAAGGCATCCTCTCCCCAAAGGCCATGGGCCTGCTGGAGAATGGGCTTGCTGCCGAGATGAAGAGGTAGGTGCCAGGCCCTCTCGGGAGGGGAGGAGTAAGCCCCATAGGCCAGTCTCCCCTGACTGAGGAGAGTGAGAGGGAGGGCAGGAAGGCTGTTTGCCTTCTCACTTACTGAGAATGTATTAGAAATTATGGACTGTTTTCAACTCTCAATTCTGTGAGTTAGGCATTATTATTCCCATTGTACAGATGAGGAAACTGAGGCCCAGGGACTTTGTCTTGTCAGGGACGAGACAGTGTTTCGGTGAATACAAGATCTCCATGAAACAAATCATACAATGAAATAAATGTACTGTGAGAAATACAGTGCAATAGAGTCACAGGAGTAAGTGCTTCTACTACTGACAAACAAGAGGCATGGTGGTGGCCAAGGCTCAGCCTCAGGGCTTTGCCGCCTACTCGCTGCCTGACTTCCAGCAAGCTACTGACCTCTCTTTGCCTCGTCTGTAAAATGGGGATACTAATAGTACCTATCTCCTAGGGCTTCAGGGAGGGTTAAGTGAGATAATATAGGCAGAGTGCTAAGAACAGAACCTGACACACAGTAGGTCTTCTATGAGTGTTTGTCATCATTAGTAAGTGCCTTCTGTGTGCCAGAGACTGAGTCAGGCACTGACTCCCTCAGTCCTCATAGAAACCCTGTAAGGTGGGGGTGTTAGGCTCTTTATACAGCTAGGAAGATTGAGGCTCAGAGAAGTGTAGTCACTAGCCCCAAACCTCATGGGGAGTCAGTGATGGAAGCCGGGCCTGCACTCAGCAGTGGTGGAGGCGGGGCCTGCACTCAGCAGTGATGGAGGCGGGGCCTGAATTCAGGCCTGATCTGGCCACAAACTGCTTCCCTCTCTGGAGGTTTTGAGCCCTGGCTCCCATGGCACAGCCAAGAATGCTCCAGCCCTGGAGAGGCAG
Source organism: Homo sapiens (assembly GCF_000001405.40). NCBI lineage: Eukaryota > Metazoa > Chordata > Mammalia > Primates > Hominidae > Homo > Homo sapiens. The sequence goes on from NC_000001.11 coordinate 55,006,020, forward strand.
TGGGACCACCAACCCCCTGGGCTGTGACTCTGCACTCAGGAGGCCGGGCTTCAAGCCCAGAGTCTGTCGGCTGGGTTAGGGATGATCTCTGCTTTGCTTGGGGAAGGGGTTCATAATGGCGTTTTCTGCCCCTGGCACCCAAGGTGAACAACTGCCTCAGTGGGAAGGAAGGGGATAGACCCTGTGGGTATGGAGGCCAGCCAGAGCTCCGTCTCAGGGCCGGTTACTTGGGGTGGGCTCCTGTGATACAGTGGGGGCTCCGGCCACCCTGGGTTCTGAGCTCTTCCCAGTCACTTCCCGGCTGTGTGACCCTAGGCAAGGGGCCTAGTCTCTGAACCTTACTTTCCAGAGGGACTGTAGCACAGTCATAGAGAACATGATATCTGGAGCTCCAGTACTATCACCTAGGGTCCATGTCACCCGGGTACAAGTCTGTTAGAGACTCTGTGCCTCAGTTTCTTCATAGTATCTCTTGTAATTATGGTGAGGGTTAGATGAGCCAACTAACAGAGCCTGGCAGGAAGGAGTTCCCCATTGCTGTAGACTGTCATTGCTGGGTATGTCCTCATCTGTAAACTGGGAATGAGAATTTCTGCCTCAAGGCATTTTTTAGAATAATGTTTAGAATAATGGGTTGATAAGCATTCAGCCTTTACCCACCATCTGGGACCCGGCAAACTCAATGTTAACGGGTCTTCATTTTGCAATTGCATCCTTGTGGTTAACTTTGGAGGCATCAGGTGAAAAAAACACTGGATAGAGAGTCAGACTTGGGGTCAGGCCTGAGCTTTGTCACTTAATTAACTCACCTTGCTGGGCCTCAGCCTCCTCATCCCTGAAACGGGCGCAGTAACATCCCCCAAAGGCTTCTTGTGAGGTGAGGGGAGACCACATACCCAAAGCAAACAGGGCCGGGGAGAACACTGGTGTTTGCTGAGTGACTCTTTGCCGCCTGCCTGTTCTCTCTCCCACTCCAGCCCCAGTCCCCAGCCGCCCTATGTAAGGCTGTGGGAGGAAGCCGCCTATGACCAGAGCCTGCCTGACTTCAGCCACATCCAGATGAAAGTCATGAGCTACAGTGAGGACCACCGCTCCTTGCTGGCCCCTGAGATGGGGCAGCCGAAGCTGGGAACCAGTGATGGAGGAGAAGGTGGCCCTGGCGACGTTCAGGCCTGGATGGAGGCTGCCGTGGTCATCCACAAGGGCTCAGACGAGAGTGAAGGGGAAAGACGCCTAACTCAGAGCTGGCCCGGGTGAGTGCTTAGAGGGCAGGAGTGGGGCTTCTGCCCAGTTCAAGGGTTAAAAAGGAGAGGAGTGGGGGACCGCCGAGGGGTGGGTGGGGACACTGGGGGTAAGGAGAGGGCAGTGGAGGGTGTGGGACACCCTGAGATGTGGCAGATGTGGCAGACAAATGAGTATGGGCTTGGGAGTCAGGCCTCAGTTCAAACCCCAGCTCCTGTGCTGTGTAGCTGTGGTAGGTTCCTTACTTTCCCTAGCCTCAGTTTCCCCACACAGGGATGATCATTCCTACTACCCAGGAATGTTGAGGGTTGGGACAGTGCATTTAAGTACCTGGCATACAGTAGGCCCTTGATGTCTCTGAATGCTTGTCGTGAGTAGCAGGGGGCCAGGAGCCAGAGGACCCGAGTTCAAATTTGGGTCTGCTGCTGACCTGCTCTGTGACCTTGGGCAAGGCCCTCCCCACTCCACTCCCATCCCTGTCTGTTTGTGAACTGAGCTCCTTATTCATCCATGTACTTATTCATTCCATCCACATTACTGAGCACCAACTTCCTGCCCAGCCTTCACTGGAATCTACCCCTGAGGAGCTCTGAGTCCAATGAGGGAGGCAAAGACACCCGGGGACACCTCAGTGTAACTGGGCCTATGAGCAACAGAGGAGAACCCTGAATAATTGGAGAAGTAGATGAGTGACCTGGTTCAGATAATAGCATAGTAATAGCCCTATTTCATGAGCACCTTCTATGTGCCAGGCACTGTGCAAAGTGCCTTGCACATATTATCTGCTGTAAACCTAAGAAAGAACTGCAGGAGTGAATTCTGTTATTGGGAAGAAACTGAGGCCCGGGAAGGTGGATTATCCTACCCTAGGTCTTGCAGCTAGCGGCTGGAATGTGGACCCAGGCATTCTGACTCAGAGATACCCTTGCCCTTGTGGTCTTTGTCCCTGCAGCCCCCTGGCCTGTCCCCAGGGCCCTGCCCCCTTGGCTTCCTTCCAAGATGACCTGGACATGGACTCCAGTGAAGGCAGCAGCCCCAATGCATCTCCACATGACAGGGAGGAAGCTTGTTCCCCACAACAGGAACCTCAGGGCTGCAGGTGCCCGCTGGACCGCTTCC